>NC_000004.12:116951684-117103199 GCF_000001405.40 Homo sapiens | reverse complement strand
ACCCCCTTGAGGGGAAGTATCTGCATAAATTATTTGACTTTTTCTGCATAGGGGATTTGCATATGTTCCCCATCTGTGTATTTTTTTCCCAATAAAACTGGACACAAATTTAAATTCCACATCCCACAGGGTATTCTTTTGCCCTTAACCATTTAAAAATGCAACCAACCACCTTAAAGTGTACAAAACAGGTGGCTGGAGAGGCTAGTTTACCAGCCCCTTTTCTAGTTAACAGGGAGTTTAACATTAATCCCAAGAGACTTGGCTCTCTTTATGTTAAATAAGCTGAGATAAAGTTGCTTCCAACAGAATTAGTCACTTTTTATTCCCTTATTAAATGGTTTCTTTATATCCTTTGGACTCTCAGATATTTACTTTATAATTTGGGTTATCACACTATGACTTTTTTTTCTTATTCAAATTCTTCTACCTGTGGCCATTGGGATCTCTTTCATTTAGCTATGATGTTCTTTTGACATATACTCATTGTTTTTTAAATAGTTTTTTTTTGTTTTGAGCGCCTGTTTACATTTGGTAAAAAATGTGCTCCATACTCATCTTGTATATTTCCTGTCCTAGTCTTAGAATCATCCATTTTTCCAAGGAGCACTGATTCTTTTTGTAAGAGAACAGTGTTGGAAACCATAATATGAGTGTTGTGTGTATTCGTTGCTACTTTGTTCTCATTGCTTCTAGGACCTTACAGCTGATACAGCCAGGAAATGTGTATATATCTTATAAACATATTTATAATGTGTATGTATACAAATTAAGTGGATTAAACACATTTATAAACATTTATAATGTACACATATACAGATTGTATATGCGTGTTTATGTTAGACATGTATGTACATATGATGTGTGGGTTACATATAATATATAGATTATATATCATCTGTGTTTGTACATCTGTGCTCTGGATTGAATGCTTGCATCCCCCAAAATTCATATGTTAAAACCTTAACTCCCAATGTGATGGTATTTGGAGGTAGGGCTTTTGGGAAGAAACTAGGGTTAGATTAGATCATGAGTATGGAGGCTCCATGATCAGATTAGTGGACCTGTAGGGAGATGAAAGGACAGAACTTTCTCTCTTTGTCAAGTGATGGTACAGGGAGGAAGCAGCTGTTTTGTGAACCAGGAGGAGGACCCTCACCAAGAAGTTGACTATAGTGGCATCTTGATATTGAACTTCCAGCCTCCAGATCTGTGAGAAACAAATGTTTGTTTTGGACACTCAATCCATGATATTCTGTTATAGCAGCCCAAACTGACTATTAACCTATTTATGTTAAAGTAAATATGAGTTTATATTGATGACTCCAATTCTAATCCATTAATATATGTATCATTCCGGACTTCTCTTCTTGCTTATCTATAAATTACCAATCTAAGAGTGAAAAACCTGGCTCTCACTGGAACCCAACCACACACTTAGCTGCTAAAGCTCAGCATTCATTAGTGTGGTTTTGGAATTGTTATACTTTACTCCAATGGAAAATACTTTTAACTACTAGCATGCAGTACCTAGATACACTTCCTTTTGTCTTTATTTTTACATACCCCATTCATTTCCAAAATTACTTAGTTCAGCTTTTTCTCACCCATCATCATCAATTATGTTATGCTATACATTCGTAGTAAATTTTTTCATCACAGTCTACATTCTAGAGTCCCCACATCTCTTAACTGATGTTTTAAAATTTGCATACATAACATTCACTCTTTGTGTTTTAAGGCTCTATGTGTTCTGACAAATACACAGTGTTGTGTATCCACTGTTATCACTATCCATCTTAACCAATACAGTATCAAACAGAATACTTTCATAGCCTTATAAAATTCCCTGTGCTCCATATATTCAGCTCTCCTTTATCTCACAAGATTACTGGCAATCTTTGTTCTGTTTCCATAAATAGTTTAGCTTTTTCTAGAATGTCATATGAATGGAATTATAGAGTATGTTGCCTTTACAGACTTACTTTTTTCACTAATAATATCCATTCAAGATTCATCCAAGTTGTTTAGGTTGATAGCCCTAGCCCATTCCTTTTAATTGCTAAGTTATATTTTATTCTATGGATGTACCACAGTTTGTCTTTTCACCTATTAAATATCTTTGCTGTTTTCAGTTTTTGATAATTATGAAGAAGAAAACTTCTATAAACTTCAGTGTGTAGGTTTTAGTATAAAACTCAGTTTTCAAATCAGTTGGCTAAATGCTTAAGAATGCCATTGTTGGGCCGGATGCGGTGGCTCACGTCTGTAATCCCAGCACTTTGGGAGGCCAAGGCAGGCGGATCACGAGGTCAGGAGATCGAGACCATCCTGGCTAACATGATGAAACCCCGTCTCTACTAAAAATACAAAAAAATTAGCCGGGCATGGTGGCGGGCCCCTGTAGTCCCAGCTACTCGGGAGGCTGAGGCAGGAGAATGGCGTGAACCCGGGAGGCGCAGCTTGCAGTGAGCCGAGATTGTGCCACTGCACTCCAGCGTGGGCGACAGAGCGAGACTCCGTCAAAAAAAAAAAAAAAAAAAAAAGAATGCCATTGTTGAGTATGCTAAATATATGTTTAGCTTCATGTGCAACTGGCAAACTGTCTTCTCAAATGGTCTCACTATTTTTAATTCCAACCAGCAATGAATGAGAGTTCCTGTTGCTCCCACCCTTACCAGTAATTGAATCGTCAGGTTTTGGGTTTTAGCCACTCATAGACATGTAGTGGTGTCTCTTAGTTGTTTTAATTTGCATTTCCCTAATGACAAATGATATTGATTATCTTTTCATGTATTTACTTATCATTTTTATGTCTTCTTTGATAAGGTGTCTGTTCAGATTTTATTTTTTTGCACATTTTTACATTGTTAACTTAAGGGTTTTTTCTTTTTTTTTTGTATTCTAGATAAGAAGCCCTTTATCAGAAATGTCAAATATTTCCTCCTTTTTATCTTTACAGTGCCTTTTGCAGATAAGTTTTTAATTTCAATAAGCCAAATTATTACTTTTTCTTTCACAGATTGTGCTTTTAAGTTTTATCTAAAATCTCATCAACATGCTTAAAGTCATATAAATTTTCTTCTGTGTCCTCTTCCTGAGGTTTTATCCTTTTTATCTTGTATTATGTCTTAAATTCATTTTGGATTAGTTTTTGTGAAAGGTGTAAGGTCTGGTCTAGATTCTTTTTTTTTTTTTTTTCTTCTTTGCACAAGATGTTCAAATGTCCCAGCACCACTTCTTGAAAGAATCCATTCTTCATTGAGTTTTCTCCATATATGTGTTGAAATCAATTGACTCTACTCATGTAGGTCTTTTCTTTCTGCAGTCTCTGTTCTGTCCTATTCATCAGTATGTCTATTTCACCAATGCCATGTTTTCTGATTATACTATTTTATAGCAATTCTTAAAATTGAATAATACATGCATTAATTTTTGCCCATCGTCTAGTTCTCATCTTTTTCATCTTAACCAGAAATTAAATCCTTGTTTTTGTTTATGCACCGAATCCATGTTTTAGCACATCTCTCCAGTTAAGCACCTATTGCCTTTCTCCCGCTCACAGTTGATACACTATTGTGATCCCATGTTGAGTAAACAAAGTCTTGTACCTGCTGAAAATTTATTTCCAATATCATTACAATATTAATTGACCTTAATTGTCTATCTATTAATGTTGCCTATCGTAATATATCTTTTAGAAATATTTATTTAATACTCAAATATTTTCCTTATTGGAAGCACAGTTATTCTACTTCAGGAAAAAAATTGTATCTTGTGCTACAAGACACAATTGTAGAAATTGGTAGAAAAGAGAGATACTTGAAAAGATCAAAATTTCCAAAATAAACTATTTAATGATCCCGTTGTTATCCAAAATTTGTGGCAAATTTAACTAGCTAGTAAATAAGAATGTGTTGGATAGAAGATTAATTAGCATTAAAATTAGATTGCACTTGTGTAATTTCACATTTACATATTACTTTAAAAAGCATGAATTAATTTAGGATAAAAGCCATAAACAGATATAATACAAGATTAAAGCACCTTCACTTGCATTATTTGCAAATTATAGGTCTGTTTTATAACAGAAAATGATAAGGATTTCTTTTGTCTTTGGGGCCTGTATTGTAAAATATTTTTGCTTTGCTTTTACAGATTTGGTTCCTTATTATTACTTAATTATCAGATCTTGTGAAAAGCGTCTAATTCTCAGTCTGTCCATTTTGTAACATCATCAATAACTTTGGTGGCAAGTATCAGAAAGACAACAACATCGAATGGGTGTGAGCCACGGAAATGGATACAGGAAATGGATTTTTGCTCTCCTGCAGTTGTAGGCTATAACCAAACTTATTTTAGGGCCTGTAAAGTAGGAGAGCTGCCAGGAAGAATACAAATCATGACTGCCGCAAAAGTGACATTCATAGATTGATGCATTCTATAGAAAGGAGAAAGGTGGTATGTTAGGGACATTAGAATCATTTTTCTTGTCAGAAATAAGTGGTGCACAGTCTTCTTTGCCCTTGCCAACATTTTGCAGACTTTAGTTTTCAAGGTAGTTGTCTTTTGTGCTGCTCTATATGAGAAAAATTTTAAAAAATTTAAAAATAATTACCATCCACAGTCTGGATTTATAGAGAAAAAGTGATATGAATCAATTACTTTGGAGATCAGTCATTGATTTTTCATAAAGCCACTACATAAAAAGATTGCATTTTTCTCTGTTTCAGGCTCCAAGATTTACTGTTGGATTTAACATACTGAAAGCGGTTTTGCTTATCCTCTGTTTTAACCAGAAAAGAGGTCACAAGTCCATGTCACTTATTGCCGTGAATATTGGCATAATCAAACAGAATTCAGCAAGAGCAAAAATGTATGTAATAGCAATGGCCATTTTAATAGTTTTCCAATGGAGCTTTGTTCAATATATGAAGTTATGGAAATCAACATAAGCCAAATTCTAAAATTATATTTTGTAAATATCTAATACTCAACAAATCATAAACTTTCGTAATGTATTTGAACATACCTTCAATCAATTTCCTTTTATGACAATTTTTTTCTGTCATTATGCTAGTATTTGTCATATAAGCCATCATTGAGAAAATACATTGACTTGCTTTTTACCTCTTCTCACCAGAAAATATACTTTATTTAACTGTTTTCTCTGCTTTATATTCTTGGAAGTATTGAGAAATATCATATTAGTCATAAACTTTTTTCAAAATATACTAACTTGTGAAAAGAGAAATTTTATAAGGGACACAGGAGGGTATATTCTTAAAAGCACTGCATATTTATATGTTCTAAATAAACAGATTATGGTGCACAGAAAACACTATTTCCAACTTCCAAATCCCATTAACATGTGCTATTTTCGTCATTTGTAGCATAATTTTATAACACCTACATGATTCTGTCTTTATATCTGTAAAAGATAAATTGAATAAACTCTCTAGATACATAAAGCAAAACAACAGTGTATATCACCACATAAATTATTTGACATTAAAAATAAAAATATGGCTTTTTGAACTGTTTAAAATTAAACATGGTTAACCGGGTGTGGTGGCGTGCACCTGTGGTTCCATCTGCTACTCCAGAGGCTGAAGAGCTCTAGTATTTGAGGTTGCAGTGAGCTATGATTGCACAACTGTGCTCCAGCCTGGGTGACAGAGTGAGATCCTATCTCTAAATTAATTAATTAATTAATTATAAAAAATTAGACATAGGACTGGAGGAAAATTAAAAGTCTTCCAAGTTTTTGAAGACAAAACATCTATTTTATGTTTTAATTTATAGATAACTGCTTCCACTTGTGATCTTCCTCCACTGTAAAGGCACAGATACACAAATGTCCTCCATTTCCATATCCTATTTCTGAATCCAGCTTTAAAAATGTGTAAAATATTTGGCATTTTGAAGTAATTTCAAACATATCTCTAAATATTTAGTATTTGTGATTGATAACTATTGCTCTTAGTAAGATGTCTTGCTTCCTGCTTTAGCTATGTTAATTCTGTCAGATCCCTTAAGGAAACAGAGACTGTTTTCTGTGACTGGAACACTTCTCTTTGAATGATTGCTCCTCCCCAGCATGGGTGTGGCATGCAAAATAATGCCCCCACATCTAGGATGTCAGCAACCTCATCTCTCAAACCTGTGGATGTTACTTTACATAGCAAAAGAGACTGTGCAAGTGGATTAAACTAAGTTCCTTGATATGGGCAGAGTATCCTGTATTAACCTGGTGGGCCCAATGTAATCATTAGAATATTTAAAAGATGAAAGAGGGAGACAAAAGAGTCAGAGAAAATGTGGCAACGAAAGCAGAGTTTAGAGTGGTATATGATTGCTGGCTTGGCAGTTGAAGGAAAAGGCCACAAACCAAGAAATTCAGGTGAACTAATCTTTAAACTGGAAAACAAAGAGGGATGGATTTTCTCCTAGAGCCTCTAGAAGGAATACAATCTTGCCACCGCGTTGATTTTAGCTCGGTGAAACCTATTTTAGTTTTATGACCTCGAAAATTGTGAGATAATTTACTTTCTGTTTCTGTAAGCCACCAAGTGTGTGGTAACTTTTTTACAGAAGCAATAGGAAAAATACAATGGGTAACATCAATCCTTCAGTTAGCTCCCAGGTGAAACGGCACTTCTATCAATAACTCTCTTTTCCAAACTAGCTATTAAATAATCTTTTATCATACTCTCATTCCTTATACTATTTTCCTCAATACATAGTGATAGCGTTTGATAGTCCATGACACTTACCAGAATGTAATCTCAGTATAGAAGGAGAATTTATGTCAGGGTATACAGAATCTTTGGCAGAAAAAAATATTCAATAAATATGTTTGCATAGACAAAGGAATAAATAAAATAATAAAGCTAACTACTAATACTACATATTTATGAGTGTATGCTATGTATTTATGAATGAATGCACCTGTGTACCTCTGCATGTGTGTGTATATGCAGCTTTTTAACTCTAGTTATACTCATCATATATGTCTGCCAGTAGAAATAAACTATCACATGCTCTCAAATACAGAAAGGAAGGATATAGAAAAGATCACTAAGTGAAGTAAGCATTTAAAGTTGTAGGATGTGAAAATGGAATTCTGTTATTTCTACGTTTTTCTGAGTACATTGTGATCTAATTGGTAAAACTTATTCTGATGTGAAATAAAATAAAAATGACAATGAGAAATCACTAAGTAACATCAAAGAATGGCTAGATTTTAAAATGTTTGGTTCTACTTACTACTGGTGAGAATGTGGACAAGGTAACCAAACTTTATTCTAACCACTTTGGAAAAAGGTTTTTTTTTTTGTTGTTTTTTGTTTCGTTTTGTTTTTTTTTTTGAGATGGAGTTTCACTTTCTGCCGAGCTGGAGTACAACGTTGTGATCTCGGCTCACTGCAACATCCACCTCCCGGGTTCAAGTGATTCTCCTGCCTCAGCATCCCAAATAGCTGGGATTATAGGCGTGTGCCACCAAGCCTGGTTAATTTTGTATTTTTAGTAGAGAAGGGGTTTCACCAAGTTGGCCAGGCTGGTCTCGAACTCCTGACTTCAGGTGATCCACCTGCCTCAGCCTCCCAAAGTGCTGGGATTACAGGCATGAGCCACCATGCCTAGCCAGAAAATAGTTTGGCATTATCTACTAAAGCTACACAAATATATTATCTCAGATCTTACACTTCCACTCTCAGATATGCTCTTTAGAAATCTACAAGTTTAGGTTTCTCAAGATACGTGTTAAACGATGTTTATAACATCCTTTTTTTTTTAATAGCTAAATAATGACCACTCTCTCGGTGCTCACTCGTGCATCTGCACTCAGTTGTTATGTCAACTGAGGACTGTCTGGAGTGCTTCAGTTCTTCTCCACATGATCTCTCTCCCTCTAGTAGGCTAGATCGGGCTTGTTCACATGGAGCCACAAAATTCCAGAAGAACAAGAAGAGGCATACAAATCTTCTTGTGGTCCAGTATTAGAACTTGAATGTCATCCCGTCATTGCATTTTAGTCACCAAAGCAAGGGCGTCTCAGAATCAAGTGTTGTGAGAAGTTAACTCTGCTTCTTGATGGAAGGACATGAAGACATTTGTTGCCAATTTTGCAAGCAATCACACCCAGTAATCATGGTATATAGATGTTAGTATTCAAAATTTTATTTTCAGAGCCAAAGCTGGTAAATCTCAACTACTATCCTGCTACTTTTTCTGTATTTTTACCTATTGTCTAATCTATATTATATGATTCTATAAAGTGTCCAACGTCTATATATACATAAATTATTGAATTCTTTTCCTTCCTTTGTTATTAAGATGACCAAATACCAAATGCAGCCACTCAGGATATAAATAATATGTTTATGGGTTATGATTATAAGGGGCTGATGGGAGTGGCAAATGAAGAGGACTGCCATTGTGTATGGGGTTTTGAAGGGGGTGATGATGGGGTTTTGAAGGGGGTGATGATGAATATATTTTAAAATTAGGTAGTGGTGATGGTTACACACCTCTGTAATCATACTAAAATCCACTGAATTAAAGACTTTAAAGGAGAATTTTATGGCATTCGAATTGCATCTCAATTCAAGAATATATGTTGGGTTTTCAAAAATTCTTTATTTTGGGGTCTTTAAAAGACCATTATTGCACATTCTAATTTAAAAATACAATTTTTTTCTTAGTTATTAAGCAATTAAAAATACAATTGTTTTCTTAGTTATTAAGCAATGTTGAATGATGCATCATTTCAGCAGTTTGGCTGGTATCTGCATGATGTGTTTATGTAGCGGACATATACTCTGTTAGACAATGATATGAATTAAAATTATGAAATCACTGCATAAGGTGCTCATAATAATAGGAAGAAAGGCGAGGAGATGTCATAACATTTGTTGCTTTTTAATAATTTAGACTCACTAAAAATAAAAAAAGTTAATGAATTTATCCACATTATAATTTTGGTAAAAACGTGATTTTTTCCATTATGGTTTATTATAAAAAATGATCTATTTTTATAAGATTGTGCCTATATATGGCAACCAGGATGAGACAATATAGAAAGGACATCCATAAATGGTACATATTCAGCTATAAGTGGCATATCAGTCAGTGTCTAAAAAAAAATAGAGCAAATTAAATGTTTGATTGGAACAGATTATTTGCAACAGAAATTGGAGCTTACATAAATATAGAAATATCTGGAGAACTTAAGGCATAGAGTATATAAGGGATGTGGAGGATCAGAGAAAATCACCAACAAAAACATTTGTGTAAGTTGGTTGGTTGGAACTTACAGGAAAATTCCAGACTTTTGTTGGTTTGTTTATTTTCAGTCTGACTGCCAAAATCAACAGAGAGCTCATAGGGAGATATGTGGCAGCTGTCATCACTATGAAAATTGCAGTGAAATGCTTGAGGGTTGACTCAAAAATGCTATTGGTTGGTGGGAATAGTAATTGGGAAGAAAAAAGCTGGATGTTGAATACTTCTGGGCACTTCCATATTTGTCTGTCATCATGTCTGACTACTACAATATACTGAGAGGAGTGATTTCTTCTCACTCACATACATCTGTTGGCTAACTGTAACCAAACCATACAGTAAAGTGGTTTCATGGAAACAGTTGTCAATTCTTGGACTTGAAGTAATTACATACATCATATATTTCAGTTAAAATGAGAATGAACTGATATATTTTTATTTTTATAAATAAATGTTAAGAAAAATTGTAAAATATAGTATATTATATATGTGACACTTAAAAATATCAAAAACACTATTCATTGATTATGTTAGGAAGGATTCAAACTGAGTCCATGTCATAGCTCCTCAAACAAATGATCACTAATACATATCAAATGTTAAAAAAAATCTGTGAGTTGGGAACATAAGTGTTTATTATATATTGCCTTAGTCCATTCCTGCTACTAAAACAAAATACCTTCAACTGGATAATTAATAAATAATGAACGCTTATTGCTCATAGTTCTGGAGGCTGAGAAATCCAAGGTCAAGGTGCCAGCAAATGTAGTATCTGGTAAAGTCTTGTTCCTTGCTTCCAAGGTAGAGCCTTGTTGCTGTGTCCTTCAGAGGGCAAAAGCACTATAGCCTCTCATAGTTGAAGGGACAGAAGCCTCAGACAGCTCTCTAAAGACTCTTTTTTAAGGTCATTAATCCCACTCACAAAAGCAGATCCCTCATAACTTAATTATTTCCCAAAAGACCTCACTTCTTAATACCTCCCACAATGGAAATTACATTTCTACATAAATTTTGGAGGAACACAAACATTCAAACCTTATTCTGTCCAATTTTTTGCAGGCTAGAAATATTTTACAAACATTTAAAAGAAAAGTAATCATTAATGTAGGAAAAATTTATACAGAGTTTTGCAGTACAGCTCATAATAGAAAACAAGAAAATAAACATTAAATAACATGAAAAGTGTACATTCATATTATAAGTATTTTCCATTATTACAGTGTGTATGTTAACATAACAGAAAAATGTTTATTTTACAATATTAAAGTTAAGAAGCAGAATTAAAAAGATTCAAATTTCATATCTTATTATATAGACCTATTAATATGTTATGTATATTATATATGTGATTTTATTAGTGTTTATCTCTTTAGAGTACTTGAAAACTTTTAAGATATTTTCTAGATGTATGACTATAACTTTCTATAGTGAACATAAAAATAAATGGTATTTGTGAGCAAAAGATGAACTAAAACAAGATACAAACATTTTAGGGAAATGTTTATTTTATAATAATAAAGTTAAGAAGCAGTATTCAAATGATTCAAGTGTAATTATTAATGATATTAATTTATGTTACTAAAATACATATTAATATGGGCTAAAATACATTTAAGATATGTATTTTCGGAGGATAATTTTGACACAGTGTGAGAAAGCTTCAAAATCACTAGATGTAAAGCGTAATGACCTACTAGTTAAGTAATGATTTCCTGCCATGAGAAGTAATTCAAAGCTCACTGCCTATAGCAGGGGCTATGGAGGAGATTTGCGTACTAGGCAAAAGTTTTATTAATAAGTTCCTCTATCTAATATTCCACCCAATTTATAACAGTACTACTAAAATTGTACTGACTAGCATATTCTGTTGTGCCTGTTTTGATAATTAATATGATGCCAATTAATTATATTTATTTATTCAGGGATTTTATTATAAAGACAGGTGCAAATAACATTCTTAGACACATCACTCATATATCATTTACTCAACAACATGTACTAAGGACCTTGTGCCAGGCACTATTCTATGCAATGGGGATGATGAATTCATCTATGCAAGATGAATAAATCTGACATTCAATTCAGTTGTTAATTTTGAGGAAATACAAATATGACCAGACTTTGTCAACAATCTGTTCTAAAAATTATTAATAGTTACTGAAAAGCCTAAACATAAAGAAAAATATCACTTTTTAATATGAAAAGCATTTTACTATCATACTGATAAATATCAAAGAGATAATGTTATTCAGGCTTATTTCAATAAGTTGATTGGTACTATGGTATTATTCAGCTTTTATTTCCAATCAAGATACATAAGTTCTCCCTGCTGTATTCAGAATTGTGGCTCCCTCCCAGTCACTTGGTACCAGAGCTCAAGGGAAATCAGCTTCCTCTGCATTCTCCTCTCTCCAGTTTTGCCTTCACGTTCACATTACACACAGAGAAGGTGCCACAGGGAAGATCACTCTCTGCTCACAGTCTGGTTTTGGATCCAAATGATGTAGGAGATGAGTGCCTCTGCCATCTCCCCAGTAACTCTGAAGTCTCTTACTTCTAAGCAGCCTTAACCACTGACATCCTATTACCTGCCCTTTCCCATGTGATATTCTCTTCATAGTCACAGTTGGCTGACTGATATTATAGCAACAATATGTTCCATCCTCATTTAAACAGACCAAGTGGGACTCCTGCTTTGCTATCTACTTTTTCACTCTGGCTATTTGCTATCCTCAATGGGCCTCGGTTTCATCATTTTTTAAGAGTGGAGTAAATAATTCCTACCTCAAAAATTGTTATGGGAATTAAATGACTTCATACATATATAAAGACCAGAGCAGAGTAGCAGGCCAGAGTAAGCTCTTAATAATTGCTAACTCCCATTCCCTTCTGTCTATAGCAAATGTATAGATACTTCCCTAAGGCTCCTTGGAGTTTGGTTTCACTTGATCATTTCCTGCTTCCTTGTCATTGGACAGAATAAGCACATAAAACTATGTCAGCTAAATCTTGAGAAAATACAATTGAGAAATTTGTGTGAAGAGATGAGGTGTAGTCAATTCCTCCATGTGATATGCAGACAGGAATCAATTTTATTTCATAACAATACATTTTAAAAATCCAAGAATATATTAATTTTAATGTATCTTTCCATCCAAGGTCATTGATAATCCATTTGGTAATCTTGCTTGCCTTGGGAAATTTGCATGAGAAGACTTTTCCTAAATGAGTTTTTATTGCATCATACAGAAGAGTTTGTAGAGGAGAAAATTCAGTAATAGTCCACAAGTGTTAAACAAAAGAATGGAAAAGTTGAAAATAATAAGCTTCCCAGTGAATAATAAAGGTTTTGTTAAAACTTTATTTTTTATTGTGATGGGGGCTTGCTTTCTTGCCTAGGCTGGTGTCAAACTCCTGGCTTCAAGGAATCCTCCTGTCTCAGCCTCCTAAAATGCTGGGATTACACATGTGAGCCATTGCGCCCAGCCAATGATAAAGGTCTTTAACATTAAGAGAAAGGATAGTATAGGCCAGGCACTGTGGCTCATGCCTGCAATCCCAGCACTTTGGGAGGCCGAGGGGGGTGGATCAAGAGATCAAGAGATCGGGACCATCCTGGCCAACATGGTGAGACCCAGTCTCTACTAAAAATACAAAAATTAGCTGAGCATGGTGGTGCGCACCTGTAGTCCCAGCTCCTAGGGAGGTTGAGGCAGGAGAATCGCTGGAACTCGGGAGGCAGAGGTTGCAGTTAGCTGAGATTGCGCCACTGCACTCCAACCTGGTGACAGAGCGAGACTCTGTCACAAAAAAAATAGAGAAAGGACAGTATAAAATACTCATCTGTTTAAAGTGTGCCAAAAATATTTGGGCAATTATAATTTAATTTTTAATATTTCTAATACTTATTAATTTCCAAGCAATTAAAGAGAAACACATGCTTTATTTCCAGACTATCTAAATGAATCATATAAACTAGCTATGTATAAGGATTATTAGTCTCTGAGCATATGTTTTAAAGCACAGATTCAAAGATTAAAATACAAGTATGTTAGAAGTAAAAAATTTCAATGGAAGTTTACCTTTAGGGAAACACTAAAATAGCTCTGGTGTTGTGTGACCCTTAGGTAGGTCTACATCATCACACCTTGAGGGAGAATCTGTCAAGGATTCAAATAACTGTAAGAATCATTTTTTCTCTGTAAAACTAGGGAATACAGGCATTTCCAATGAGAATTAAAATAATTTTTATCTGTATGGGTAGTTTATTAAAGTTGGATTGTTTTGGTCAGAAAGTTGATAAAAGAGTTAAAATACTATTGATGTTTTCATCTATATTAGCACTGATATATAAGGATATTACAAAAATAATGCTAAAATGATCTTTTCTTTATTTTTCATTTGGTTTTCATTTTTTGTGTAAGTGTATATATACACCCTTAGTGAGTTAAGAAAAATTTGAAATTCCATATGAATCATTAGGGAGGCAGTGATTCCATCAAGGAGGAAGTAGATTTTTTGAAGACATCATCAAGCTGCAATTTAACGTTCCTACTAGACACCAAATAGAAACACAGCAGCATTGTTTTTTCATGTAAAAAAAATGTATAAGGTGGTTTTTCTGTCATATGTCATGCCATATATATTATACAACTGAAATTTTGGAAGAGTAGTAGAATCAGAGGAATATTCCACATCAGTTACTTCACAGGCAGCAACCAAAGAAATATTTTATATAAACAAAGAGAGACGAGAGAGAGACTGTTTTAAAAAATACAATAAAAAATACAACAGTTCAGTGTAATGTTTGCAAATTACAATTTATACAACGGCCTTTTTGTAGTTTTGCAGCTTCCACAAATAGTATATCTCACAAAAGCTGAAGTAATCCATTAACACAATACTTACAATGTTTAGACCTTAGACCAAACTTTAAATTCCTTAACCCTGGCCTACAGGCATTATAAGAAATGCCCCCTAATGATCTCTGTTACTTTATCAATCATCCCTCTCCCTTACTACATTCTTGTCATCCTGGCCCCTTTGCTGTTCATGCGACAATCATTCTTGCTCTTGCCTGGTAACGTTTGAACTACGTCCTAGGATGTTTCCCTCCAGACATTTGTATAGTTTACTTTAACTTCATGTACATCTCTATTCAAATATCACCTATTTAGAGAGGCTGTCCCTGCCCACTCTACCTAAAATAGTTATCATCATTTATGCTTCATCTTCTTATCCACATTTTCTTCCCAGCAATTTTCACTGGCTATTTGCAAACACATATTTGTACTGTTTGTGTCCTCTAGTTCTCCCTGATTATTATGTAAGCTCCATGAGGATGGGTATAAGGTTTATTTTCACCCATAAAAGGGGCAATTGAAAAAATAAATTACTAAATATTGATTTTAATTTTATGAATTCTTACATTTTAGTGGGAGACTGACACTATTAACCTGTTCCAGGAGTTTATCCTTAGATAGTGCTTCATATTTTTTCTTGGTATGTTACTAATAAATCCATGGGCAAATAAGTATTCTAAAAGCTGTAAATATTATGTTGAGTTTTCCTTATTACGATAAATATTTAGCCATATTGCATAGGGTGTGTTCTTCTAAAAGCTCATGTTTTAACATGTCTTATCAATTACAAAAATGACTTTAAAATAATAAATATATCTTTAATTAAATTATTTAAAACTTTAAGTCAATCAAATCCCAAGAGACTTTGTAATTTCATGCACAAGATAAACTGTATTTTTTTGCTTAATTGAGCTAAGCATTTGGTGAGCTCAGTCAATTATAAATGTTAATTATAAACATCGATTTAAAAATCAGACTTGGGTCTGATATTTTGAAGTTCAAAGCAACATTTCTTGCTTCTTCAAATGCAACTGAATTCTGGAATATTAATGTTCAATTCAAGTAATTGAATAATCCAAATTTAAATTATTAAAAGGTTGGTATTATAGAGATATACACATATATATTATTCTTAGATATAAAAATATTGAAAAGTGAGGCTACCTCTATATTATAATGTTTCTTCTGTACTTTACTATTTTAGCAAAATCAGAATCAATGTCAGTTTATATTTTAAGGTAATTATTTTAAAAGACACATAACTAATTTAAAAGAGCTTTTTATAGCTAAGCTATTCATATAAATAATATTGAGTTATAAAATACAGACATCAAAAGGTTGTATTGCATAGCTAACAGCAAGAACTAATTATTAACACCTATTTGAAATACAGTACCTTAACTATCGTGAGAACTTTTATTGATATTTTTAAATCAAATGTTTCTTATAACAAAATCAATATAGCATTTTAAATAGATAATTCGACCAATGCCTGGCAATCGTCTGAATACATGAGACCAAGAAAGATTGAGGATAATCAGAAACTGATTCATATGTTGTTCTGTTGATTCCACCTGTAAACTTGTTTATTCAACGTTAATTCCTTGAAGTATTAATGTGTAATTAATACTCCAGAATTAATTCTATAATCAATGACTATTACATGACAAAGACAAAGATAAACAGTATTACGTTAACACTATTTGGCTTCTAGTGTCTTTTATCTTTTAATATATGCAAGCCAACATACAGAAACAAATCAACTTATAATATTTAATCCATGTTTTAGGGAAAAAAATCTTTCACCATTTCCTAGAAAGGAAGATTGGACTCAAACCAAAATCTAGGAACTTTACCTGGATGTATCTTATAGTTATTATTGATTATTGACTGCTGTGTGCATCCATTTTCTCACTCGTAGATGGAAGTGTCTGTTGCATTTTTCCTACGCTTTGGGTGTGTGGGAGCCAAAAACTTTATTCTTTTAGTTCACAAGTCTTCAGACCAAGAGTAAGTACAACAAAGGATAGGACTTTCCTTTATCTGCTCCTGGATCTGATTTAGCTTACAAAAATATCCTGTGTAAGAAGCCTGAACCTGATGCTATATTGATATGAGACTATTGTTTGCATTGGAAGGAAAAAGTGTATATTTCATGTCAGAGGAAACAAAATTTATTCCCAACGGAAAGGATGTGGCTATTTTTAAAAAATTAGCAAATACTAGGTACATTTCTCATTAAAAGTTGATGTGTATGGTCCACACCCTCCCCTCCATCCTCACTCCACCTTGAAGTAAAACAGGCTTGTGCCTACCTTGGTATTGAAAATTATATAATATAACTTCTAATACTAGGTCATAAAAGGCCATTTACTTTCTGTCTTGCTTGCTAGAAATCCCACTTTTGGAGCATTAAGCCACCCTTTCATGCTAATGCCAACAATGCACCTAGAGGCCATAAGTAGGCATTCTGGTAGACAGTCCTAGAGTACCTTAACCTTTTCAAGGCTTCTTATAAACTTTGTGTTTATAAGCATGAATTAGCTTTATCCTTAGGGCAAGTTTAGCCTTACTTAAAACAGTGTAGCTTTCCTTGGATCTTGTCTGAATGTTGCAAGTGTTCAATGAGGATTCTACTTTCTGGCTGTTCCAGTCTTGAAAGTTTCCAAATCCTACGTGAAGTCTTGGGAAACTTCAATTCACAATTCCTCCATATATGCAAAACCTACACAAATGACATATGAGGTTCTTTTCTGTTATAATGAAGAAATTAAGTTTTGAGCTTTGTAGCCAAAAAGAGACCTTTCCATGAACTAATACATCTCTCCCTCTAAGTGCCAGTCTTTCAAAATACTGGCTAGACGTTATCATTTCAAACATTATTATTATTGCAAATAGGGGAACTAGTTTTAATATGCTATCTTGTTGACCTAGTAAATATTTCCAGGTATAATTGATTTACAATAAGAGACAATACAGCGTAATAGTGAAAAACAGGCGCTCTGGAGCCGGACTGGATTTAAATCTTTGCTCTAACCCTTACTAGGGAGGTGAATTTGGCCATATTACTTAACCTCTCTGTGCCTCAGTGTTTTGTCTCTTGAAAAGGGGTGGGGGAGGGGAGATTATCACAGTATCTACCTCACTGGGTGTTTCAGGAAAGTTAAATTCATAAATATAAATAAAATGCTTAGCACAGCAACTGGTAATTAGTACTGGGAGTTTGCTGTTATTATTATGCTATTGTTGTTATAATTAATGATCTGAAGAATAACCAGAGCTCTATAGGTTTATCATGATTACTAATGAAGATGCCACTAAAAAAAAGAATTCAGGAGCATCTTGGCGGTGGCAGCGAGTTTGAAGATGCGACGATCAACGTTGAAGATCACCGCTCGCAACCCCGGGCCTGGCGCCGGGTAGGGGCGCGGCGCTCGATTTCCTTCCCTGCCTCCGCCGTCCCCCTGGTGCGCATGCTCAGCTCAGCTCGGCCCTCGCCTTTGATTTATTTTTTTTCTGGGCGGCCGCTGCGACCCGGGACTGACTTCGGGATGGGAAGTGGAGCCCCCGGAGCTGCTACCGTGGCGGCGGCGCTGTGAGGAGCAGCCAGGGGGAGGCAGCTGCGGCTCGCCGGTGAGTATCCGGGAAGCGCCACCATGGGGCTCCGTAAGAAGAGCACCAAGAACCCCCCCGTTCTCAGCCAGGAATTCATCCTGCAGAATCATGCGGACATCGTCTCCTGCGTGGGGATGTTCTTCCTGCTGGGGCTTGTGTTCGAGGGAACAGCAGAAGCATCCATCGTGTTTCTCACTCTTCAGCACAGTGTTGCTGTCCCTGCAGCAGAGGAACAAGCCACGGGCTCAAAGTCCCTCTATTATTATGGTGTCAAAGATTTGGCCACGGTTTTCTTCTACATGCTGGTGGCAATCATTATTCATGCCACAATTCAGGAATATGTGTTGGATAAAATTAACAAGAGAATGCAGTTCACCAAAGCGAAACAAAACAAGTTTAACGAGTCTGGTCAGTTTAGTGTGTTCTACTTTTTTTCTTGTATTTGGGGCACATTCATTTTAATCTCTGAAAACTGCCTGTCAGACCCAACTCTTATATGGAAGGCTCGTCCCCATAGCATGATGACATTTCAAATGAAGTTTTTCTACATATCCCAGTTGGCTTACTGGTTTCATGCTTTTCCTGAACTCTACTTCCAGAAAACCAAAAAACAAGACATCCCTCGTCAACTTGTCTACATTGGTCTTCACCTCTTCCACATTACTGGAGCTTATCTCTTGTACTTGAATCATTTGGGACTTCTTCTTTTGGTACTGCATTATTTTGTTGAATTACTTTCCCACATGTGCGGCCTGTTTTACTTTAGTGATGAAAAGTACCAGAAAGGCATATCTCTGTGGGCCATTGTGTTTATCTTGGGTAGACTTGTGACTTTAATTGTTTCCGTACTCACTGTTGGGTTTCACCTGGCTGGATCGCAGAATCGGAATCCTGATGCCCTTACTGGAAATGTAAATGTGTTGGCAGCTAAAATTGCTGTTCTGTCGTCCAGTTGCACGATCCAAGCCTACGTAACATGGAACTTAATTACTCTCTGGCTTCAGAGGTGGGTAGAAGATTCTAATATTCAGGCCTCATGTATGAAAAAGAAACGGTCGAGATCTTCTAAAAAAAGAACAGAAAACGGAGTGGGAGTGGAAACTTCAAATAGAGTAGACTGTCCGCCAAAGAGGAAAGAGAAATCTTCATAATCTTTGCAAGCGCATTGATTAATGTCTGCAAAGGAATCTGCTCTTTGAGGTTTCTTTCTGCACTAGAGATTTTTCTGTTTTTGAAAATAGTTCGTGCTCTTCGGTTTTTGTTATTGAACTGTTTCATGTATTTTTTAAAGACATTTGAGGGGAGGAGGATTATTATGAATGGGAAAAAAAGATTTTGGTTGAGACTAAATTACTCATCGTCAAAATAATGTCAAAATAGTTTTGGGGATCACCACTATATTTTGTTTTGATTTTTAACCTTTCAACATTTTCCTAATGATTTGCAGAGATAACTGCACAATTTTGCATATCAATGATACTGGTTCTTACTCCCACCAGTGTTTCATAATACTAACAAGATGGTCTCTCCTAGCAAGATTATGTGTTTAATGCTTGCTTTGGGGTAAAATAAAAGTACGAAAAAGGTGGAAGTCAAATCAGTATTCTGTAATTGTTAGAATTTATTTTTTAAGAACTTACAACTCAGAAAAGATTGCTAGACTCACCAAAATAATAAATGTTCTTTATTTTACAGGTAGTGATTATTAGTGCTTCATCCCCATTTAAAAAAACACAGTACTAATGGGTAACACATATGGAGGTTTGCTGCCATATATATTGCATCAAAATATCATTAATTAATATAAAAATATTAAAATCATTCCTGTCCATTCCACTTGTAAATGGGAATTCATGAAATTAAATATTACTTTAAAAAGGACATTGAACTTAGTCTTTTTTAAAAATGTTTATTAAAAATGATTCCTAATGAGGCCTTGTAAGATCAGTAACCACAGCATCTTAGAAAAATATTGTTTGTATACCAGGTTGAAAAATAATACTTGGCATGTGTATAAAAAAAGTCAGCTAATTACATTTGGAAAGCATGTTATGCATCAACCTTCAATAAGTTGAAAATCAGATAGTCACATGAAAGGCTTTTGAAAAATAATGTTGTGATTATTTGTCTTCATCTTTAATTGGGGAACATTTATCTGTATAAGACATATTTTGAAGATTATTTACATACACATGTATGTATAATCTGTATCTTTGCAGAAGCCAATGGAAACAATGGGAATTAGTGGGTGAGTATTTATACGTATTGCCTCTCAATCCTTATTTCAGTTTTATTTCCATAATGTGTTTATATAATTTTTCAGTAAGACAGTACTTTACAAATATGCTAGGGGAAGGCCATATATTTCCTATTCCGTTATATTTTCTCCTACTATGTCTCTCATCTCTAAATATTTTATAGCCAGCCCTCTCTTTGGTTTAAGTAATTCAACTCTCCCAAGCATGGAGGGCCCTCAAAATCAAGTTTAATGCTTTTATTACAGATCACAGACAGAAGAGCCACTCTTGGTAAAACATTCCTTTCTGTCTGCTTTCAGAAGTAAATATCAAAGCAAGATTTCATTTTTTAAATATAGAATCCATCATCTTACCTATTTTTGTTTTCAGTTACTGAATACTGTAATATTGGTAGCACATGTTGTAAGGTCCAAAGTAAACCAACTTTATGCAACTGAAAAACAAAGATTTTTACCTTCTCGTATGACAGAGAGTTCTTTTTTTAAAACCATTCTAGCCCATTACCTGTAACCCCACTCCTGGTAAGAAATGCCCTATATATTGTATACTTCTTTACAAATAAGTGCAGATCTGACTCAAACTGGAAAAATAAATTACAGAAAAATTATTATGTTACATGATTAACAATGCCAAGAGTTAAATTTGGCTTAGCAATAGATGTGATTAGGATTTAGATCAGTTTCCCTAGGATTTTTCTTGGCTCTAACCCCTTAGCTTTATGTTCTTCATGGCAGCAAATAATGAAAGCTATTCTAGGCTTTGTTTCTTTAACCCTGTGATGGAGAGAAAGAGAAAAAAACTAATTTCTAAAATTCCCAAGACAATGGGAGTTACCTTTAGTAAAGTCATTTGATAAAGGAGTATACTGGGCTGATGGATGTAAGTCAGGTTTCATGCTTCACCCATGTAAAAAGGCAAAGCCTGTTTTGTGTGTGTGTGTGTGTAAGATATTAGTTCACAAGAGGAAGCAAGGTTATTGAGAAGAATAAAGGGAAAGATGCTGGCTACATCTCAACTACTCACAATGGTATTCCTACTCAATAAATATCGTCAGAAAATAAATGCCAAATAAATTATGAAAGCAACATTACAAATGAAATTTAGCTCAATACAAATTAGGTATTTTTAAAAATTTATTCTCAAAACATTCATGCCATGATATATCTCAGTGTGATGATTTGGTCTGTGTCAAAATGGACCACATGGAAACATAAATTTTCATTATGATTTGAGTTATTAAAGCAGGCATTAAGTAACCCTGTGAAGGCTCAAATAGCTGATTATCTGCCCCTCCCAACACCAAAACTGCAGAAATCATAAAGGTGTATCTAATATTTATATTTAAAGATTTTCTGATTTATTGCCTTCAAAGTTTAGCCTTATATTTTAAATAAGTCTACAAGTATAGGTTTTTCCAGCATGGGGTCAAAGTATATGTTTATTTTTGAAAAATGATTCTGCTAGCATTTAATTAACAGTGTATACCATTTGTTTTTAAACAAATAGTATCAATGTGTCATGCAACCTATATATCTTTTAAGGGACAAAAAAGTTTTAGGACTTATTATTCTCTTACTGATAAGTATAATTCTCCATTGATTTTAATTAGAAAAAAACATAAAATACTTTTTCATCTATCTTTCATCAATATTTGTTGATCGGTTAGCAGAATTATGCATAACCAATACTGTATTAACTTGGAATAGATTCAAGAAGATTAGAGTTATTAAATTAATAATTTAAAGCTTGCTTGAAGACAAAATATTCTGATATTCCTTTAAGTTGGAAAAATAAAGGTAAAGATTAAGTTTTCACTTAACTAGACTAAGTGAGAATAATTTGTATAGAGTAACAAAATACTTTTTACCAATGCTTTATGCAGGACTTGTCATATTGGAACAGTTGCTTAGAGGAAGTTCTTGTGGAAAGCCGTGTTTGAGAACGTGGCATATGAAATAGGCTAGTACTTGGGCCTTTGCACTATGGCAGAGAATGCCCTCCAATGGGAGAGCAGACCTTTGTAATCTGGACAAAATAGACAGCGTTGTTGAGTATACAGAGGTAATTACTTTTATTTTTATTTTTATTTTTTTTTTTTTGAGATGGAGTCTCACTCTCTCACCAGGCTGGAGTGCAGTGGCGTGATCTTGGTTCACTGCAACCTCCGCCTCCTGGGTTCAAACGATTCTCCTGCCTCAGCCTCCCACGTAGCTGGGACTACAGGCACGCGCCACCATGCCAGGCTAATTGTTGTGTTTTTAGTAGAGACTGGGTTTCACCATGTTGGCCTGGATGGTCTCAATCTCTTGACCTAGTGATTCGCCTGCCTTGGCCTCCGAAAGTGCTGGGATTACAGGCGTGAGCCACCGTGCCCGGCCAGGTAATTACTTCTTACTAACACCAAACTATCTGACCAGAGAATTCAGTAGCATTTAGTTAACAGTGTATCCCAGTTTTAAAAAAACAAATAGTATGAATGTGTCATGCAACTTACATATCTTGTAAGGGACAAACAAGTTTTAGGCTTCATTATGTTATGATAAATCTCAGTGTGATGATTTGGTCTGTGTCAAGATGGACCACATGGAAACAAATTTTTATTATGATTTAAGGCATTAAAGCAGGCATTAGTTAACTCTGTGAAAGTTCAAGTAACTGATTAACTATCAAAAACAGGTTAATCAGTTAAAAACTGGTAGGAATTTCTATGGAAATAGAGAAAAAAAATTTGTTCACTGCCATCTTTCAATCAAATCTACCTTTCGTGAGAAACTACCCGCACTAAATAAGACAGAGTGGTACCTGCCAATTACTCCAATTTATGTAGAAAAAAACCTCATACATCCTTCATGCAAAAATTATACATTTCTAAAACATTGAATTGGAACATTCTTATACAGTCATGTAACTGTCAAAATTTTCTATCTAAATCCCTATTACCGAGTTCTTTTTAGGACCTGCACCCACTCTGGCAGTTTTAAGTATTAAATAAATGTGGAATAAGCCAAACATTAAGAATTCTGCTCATGAGATTATTTACCTGGGTTTTCCTTTTTCTTGACAGGTGACCTTGCATTTTGTGTTGCAGCATTATGTCAGCTAAATTTTTCATTTTAAAATCTAAAAAAATACATTAATGTGTAAACTGACCATTCCAGTAGACACTTACATAGATGAGGAAAAGACAGTGGGTTGTGATAGGTGGTTAAAGGTTCATGTTAATTTAAAAATGAAAATGGTTAAACTAAATTCACAGTAATGATGTGTGTATCTTCTAGCCAGCCTAGGAGTGTCACTGTTAAGGGATGTGGTTACTCACTGAATCAGGAAAAATTTCAATTTTAAACAAAGGGCAAGTTAACTCCTTAAGGTAAATGTAAGAAAAGGCTCAATTTCAACACCACCCGCATCATTCACCAAATCAAATCATGTCAGCATTGCAGAATCTCATGGCTTGAGGAAAGTTTGCAAAAATATAGATCATTTACTAGCGCCCATGTGGGATTTCTCGTAAGCCATCACACACTGAAAAATATTTACATCCCAAAATAAATTTAATATCTCATTCTCTTCATGCCCTTATTGCTTTAACTACAGAAAAGCAGCTGTCCTCTTAACTCAATCCTCAAATAAAAACAGCCAGTTAAATACAAGGTTGCCAGAGTCCTCAACACAAATATTGAAATATAACTTGTAAGCTTTAAGACAATTTTAAAAAGATGTTTTCAAGTATAATGACACAAATTCAGCAGAGGAAGGTAATAAGGTGATTACAAATAATGGTTAACAATAGAGATCGGGGCAAACCCCTGCTGTGGCCCTTAGAGCTAAGTGAACTTTGGCAGAGAATGTCAACATTCTGTCTTGGATTATATGCCATTAAAGTGACAAAGGTATGTATCTCAAAAAGCTGCCATGAGGATTAATAATATATACAGATACAGTGTCATAAAGTTTCTTTGTGAGTGTGTGTTTATACAAACATGTTGATATGTTTATACCACATATGTGTATATAGTCTTAATATACAATTTAACAGTTATGTGTGTCTCTGTTTATGCATAAATATATACATATCCACATATGTACACACATTTATAGGTTTTCCCCCTACATATTTGTTTCATTTTAATGGATTTTGTTTTTAGGGTAGTGTTAAGTTCACAGCAAGACTGACTGCAAAATACAGAGAGTTCTCATACCTCACACATACCCGACCTCACGCATACACCGCTTTCCTCACTATCAATATTCCACCTCAGAGTGGTACATTTATTGTGATTGGTGAACCTATATTTACACATCATTATCAACCAGTGTCTATAGTTTACACTAGGGTTCACATGTATTGTATTCTATGGATTTTCACAGGTGTATAATGACATGTAACTACTATTACTGTATCATTCAGAGTCATTTACCCTAAAATTCCTCTGTGCCACATCTATTAGTCTCTTCCTCCCCTGTAGATTTTCACACATTGTACAAATGTATGACATTGATTTTTCTCTCATGTCCAGGTAGGAGGCAATAGAAAATTCAAGTATAGTGAATCTATTTTCCAAATGTATGAATTCTCAAAGACTAAATAATGTACATTACAGTATATAGGACTATAATTAAAATGTACATAAATTATGTTCTGAGTAAACACTTATTTTAAAGAGTTATAAAATTCATAGTAACTATGGACTACTTTTCTTACATAATTATAGAAAAAAGACATCATATAAAAATTTTTGATATATATTAATTCCAAAGTAGGTGTTATATTTAACATATTTGAAACCATGGTCTAGGTAAATTACAGTAAGAATAAAAATTAAATTCTGATATTCAAAATTAGATTTCACAGTAAGTGAATTAAGCATTTATTTAGGAAAATCAAAAAGCATCAACCATCACTTTAATACTTATGGATAGTAGACTATTATCCTCTTGGTGTCAGATAATATGCATTATACATCATTACATTCTCATTACCTTGCACAATGTCTATGGATCATACTTTCTCAGAATTTGTTGAACTCAGCTGAAACAAGCAGAAAAAAACTTAGAGAAGCTTTCCTTCACATATTAAATATTGACTTTCCTTAAATCTATCACCCTTTCCCGATTTTAAGTAGTAATTGTTAATTTATTACTTGTTTATTGCCTATCTCCTGTGTCCACTTGAGGGCTGAAGTCATGCCTTTTTAAATCACTAAGGTAAAAATATCATGAAGCACAAGTCTAGTCCAGTGGAAGCACTCAATAAAAATGTGTCGACTGATTATTTACTTTATGATTTGGGGGCAGACTACACCAGGTTTTTATTTAGAAATGGCTGCATGTCATGTGTGGCATCCTAATGACATTTGTGCTTTGTCAATTTCTTTGAAACTTGAGTGCTTTTTCTAAGAATTAAGTTAATATGTCTTCTAAATATGAAGCTACTATTATAATCTTCATTATATGAATCAGAATGCCATTTTGAATGTTACACATGAATTAAATATATACCAGTTGTTCCACATCCTTAATGGCACTTTTGTAATGCTGAAGAACAAGGGGAATGATGCTATTTGAAAAGGCACAGGAGATTGAGAGACGGACATGCTTCTTGGTGGGAATGGAAATAGGGAATTTTTATGGTCAGTAGTATCTGTCATGTCTTTTAGACATCCTAATATACACTTAGAGCTCAGGGGTGTGGTCAAAGCTAAGGACATAAATTTGGGAGTCATCAGTATAAATGCAATATTTAAGTAGGGGCATTGAACAAAGTAATCTAAAGAGAGGGTATACCTAGGGAGAAGAAGAAAGTCCACTGCTTAGCCTTGAAACATTCCTACAGATAGAAATGAAGGAGTAGAATAAGAGCCAACAAGGGAAACTCAGTAATGGCTGATGTAGTAGGAGAAAAACCAAGACTAAATGTATATGGGTCTCACAGAACCCAAACCTAGGTGACAGCTGGTGAGGTAGGCAAAACACAAAGGTAAACAGTGTCACAGAACCCACAAGAAAGTGTATTATGAGCCTGAAGATATAAATGCTGCCCACTATGAGCATGAAGATATAAATGCTGCCCGCTACTATTGAGAGTTCAAATTCCTTGATTAGAAATTTTGAATGGCTGGACTGAAAAACAGGTAGGTCACTGGAGAGACGGTGAGCTCAGTTTCAGTGGAGTGTTAGGGATGAAAGTCCTGTTGGAATGAATTGAGGAAAAAATAGGAGGCTAGGATATGCTGTATGATATTATGAATACTTTCTCAACAAATGTCTCTGTGAAAATGTAGCCGAAAAATGGAAAAGAGTAATGAATTCTCTTATGTACTAAACAAAGTTAAGCATGGAGTTAAAAGAGTTTGTTTTGTTGTTGTGACTGTTCTTAGAATGGAAGATAATAGAGAATATTTATATATTTGCATACTGAAAAAGAGATGAGATGACACAAAGGAGAGGGAGAATAACTGCAAGATCCAGGCCACATTGCATGAGCCCACTGAAGAAATGGGTATAAGACATGATTTCCTAATTTGAAAAAAACATTTTTTTTAATTATATGAAATAAATCTTGAGTTGGCACATTTTCCCACAGCCTTTGGGACATCTGCATACAATAGATATTTGAAGGATTTTTGAACAAAGAAATCTTCCTGATGTTTTTTTTCCTCCATCTCTACTTTTCAAAAAATTCCAATGCTTTAATAGATTACAGAGGCACCAGGTGTTCATTAGATCTTGAGAAAACAGGAGCCCTGAGCTTTTCTTTCTAATTGAAGTTTCTATCTTTCCACTTTAATTACCATTACCATGGGACTAAACAGAACTAATGACAGTTTAAGAAATCTGATGATGTTTTTAATCAATTTAATTATCCATGCCAATAATGCAAATCCATGGTAAAACTTTTGAAAGGATTTTAAGATTCTTTAATACTGCTTAAAATGTTTGACTTCACTACATTTTGGAGGCTGAAGTTTTAGTATTACTGTGTGTTAACAAAAACAAATATTTTAATGTGATTTTTAATATTTGCAAAGAGATTGAAAGTCGTCATACCTTTATCTCATACATACATAATAGAATACTCAAATAAAACAACCCAAAATTTATGCATAGCTGAGCTTCAAATATCCACAATATGCCTGATAAAATCATGTGGATTGGTGGAGAGAAGGAGAAAGGGGTCTGAAAAATAACAATATCATGGTAAGGGAAGGCTGTAGTGCACCTCTGGGAAGGTTTCTTAGGTAACCAGTACCAGTGCATTCGGGTCACAAGGAGCCGTCGCTCCAGGTAAAATATATATTTCCAATCCTGGTAATAACAAAGCTTTATGTAAAGTGAAGGGACCGTCCTAATAAGCTCTCTGGGTCTAAACACTTCAACTCTGATATCTCTGTAAAAGAGTATCCCATAAAGGCTGAGAGACATTGACCACCTTTAAAAGTCTCAGCAGACAAAGCAAATTATGTTCAATTCCTTAAATATTTATTGATTGATTAGTATATCCCAGACCTGGTGATAAACACTGGGGACACAGTGATAAGTAACATGACAAGTGACAATTCGTAGTCCAATGGCCAATGACACAATTTTGACTGTAAACAGCCATAGTGCAATATTGAGAAGCTACTTAGAAGAGCAGAGTCAAGTAACCTTGGAAAGACAAATATGTTGATAGAGCATGCATTGGCCTCTGTAAAAGGTCCAAAGAGAGTGCAAAGTGAGCAGCTCTGGCACAAGTAACACACATCCTGACTTCATCAGATCCTTGAGTAGCTGTTCAGAAGACAGCAGTTCATGTGCTCACCATTGGCATAGTGTGAGTCCCCAGCAGCCATTAGGACATGAATGGCAGCGCTGAGGGCAGCAGATTAGCCAGAGCTCGCCACCTACCCAGAGAAGCTCATGGTCTGGGTGAAGGTGGTGGTAATGGCACAGCCTTCATTCACTCAAGGGGAACACCAAGTGACCTGCAGTGAAGTGGGAATAGTAGTGGGAAGAACTGCTGGGACCCACTTGGGAGGGCATGTGATATTGGATACTAGAGGGAGGAAGAAACTCAAAAAAATTGGTAACTCCTAAAGTTACACCTGTTGGAGTTAAATACTAATGAAATTCCTATGAGATTAATGTGGTTGATGAGGCTTAGAGAAAACAATCCACTAAATAAATTATAATAAACACAATTCAGTATGATCTATCACATGGAAACCATTTTGAAGAATATAAACAAAAGTTTAATTTATCAATATATAGGTACTCTTAAAAAACTTTAAGTTTGATTGACAACATGTTTTGTATGACATTCTGTGACAACTGTCTGAATTAATCCAAGGTGCCCTGATGGGAACATCTCTTAAGTATATTACTCGTTATCTTTCTGCGTGACGGTACTTACGTGAGTAACCAAGCCCTTCAATAGGTCCTTCATCTGAGTCCCTGTTTGGAAGGTAACATTATTAAAGAAATATATTTGATCCTAGTTTTAGATCTTGGATACAATAACCCATCCTGGGTCAAATGAAGGTGTAAAACAGGAATAGGTTCTGGCAGGGAAATCTATAGCAAAGTGCCAACTTGTTCTTTACCAGGCAATGTTATCAGGATGACCTCCAACTTACTCAGCAGCATTTTAAATGTGCAGCACTGCTGGCCAGTAACATGTTTCTTGTGAAGTTCTTAGACATGATTTTGCTTTCTGGGGAAATACTATTTATTCACATCTGTTTTCAGGGTTGTTAAGAAGAAAATCATTGGCTTTCTCACTGCCTACCGACATGGAGAATGGCGTTACCCATGTCTTTATTTTCTGAATGTTGACATTAGTGGCCTAATAATGTATTCTACATTATTCTAAAAAGAAAGATAGTTGCTATGTGTTGGGAATTGTTTTACATAAAAGAGCAACCTCAATATTGACCCTGAAATCATTTAAACAAATTGCTCTAGTTTCAATAATAGTGGCAGAGTGGTGTCTTTTTGGTTATTCTCATGCACCTTTGCTTAAATACATTTACCTAATTAGAATACTCTTAAAAAAGAAATTTTTCGCTGTATTTATATTGGGGTTACGAAATGCATGTTTTTCATTTGCAGAATATTTTCATTTCTAAACTTTAATTGCCTGTTGATTATGAGACTAACCTTAATTTCTTGAAGTTATTAAGATTTCCTTATTTTTTATTTTTCCCCACTATATTTAAAACTATTGAAAGAAAAGAGCACATAGCAAATCCTGACTGCTATATAAGGTTTTGCTGAAATTAATCTACATGTAAAGATTTATGAAATAAAATTATTCTCCAATATTAACATTTAATTGTCTCCCATTTTCACTAGTTTTCTCTAAAATCTGTTTTATCAACTCCAAAATATATAATAAAGTCATTAGACATTTTATATGCTTGAAGATCTCCAAAATCCCCACTAAATTCAAATGGCAGTATTGGACAATTAGAAATATATTTGTTATTTATCAGATTCTATACATTATTATAAGATCATCAATTTTTCCAAATATATCAAAACATATCATAGTTCTTCAAGCTAGACCTGGCCTCTGCTACTATGTTATAATTATGCCCATTCTTGCAATTACTCTAAATTACTCTGTCTTGTTTTAAATTGTATATTTTGAACACTATCTCCCTCACTAAACTGTAAACATATGACTGAAACTGAAAATGTTATAGGCTAAATATGTTTATTTTTAAAATGCCTGTTTATTTTTCAAGTTGGATAAGTCTATTCTTATTTATCATAGAAATGGCATTATTTACAGGCAAGAAATGGTGGTTTAGAAGGAGAGCGGTGTGATAGAATTTCTGAGAATTATTAGAGTAAATGGCTCCAATGATCACCTATGTAAATTATTCTCTGCAATATCTATTGGCAACAGTAAACAGCTTATTGTTTATTATCTTTAAGGGGTTTTAATCATTTATGGCGAAATAGACTATAAACTACTTAAGTACAAGAATCTTATGCTTCATTATATGCATTACATTTCATTACATCTAGTATGGTAATGTTTAAAATCACATATCATACATTTTATTAATTATACTGCAAATTAAAGGTTTATTCAACTCTCCATTCAGCAAATGGTAATTAAATGCCTACTGTTTCCAGCACTATGTTTAGGTCCGCAGCTAAAAGGGAAAATGGCAGTTCCTCCTCTCACTGTGTTTATGGCCTGGGGAAGGAAAAAGACTAATTATGAAGCATATATAACGCACTAGGCTAAGCAATAGGATTATTGGTTGGATTTTTCATTCTATTATTAGTTGTATTATTCATTCTATGAGGGAAATCAGTCTAGCCTTATTGGTTTAAGGAAATCTTCCTCAAACAACTGACAACTGTAATAACAGTGGGAGAATTAGGGGTTAGAAAGTTTAAACGATGGATGCACATTGTCTAGATGGAGAAGTGCACACATACAGACCAAAAATTGAGGGAGGACATGGGTTTGGGCATGAAATATTGTTAGGATATAGAGAACAAGTGAGGGAGGAAAGAACGACCTTGAATAACATACTAAAAAGTTTGCACTTCATCTAAGATCAGTAAGTATTCAGTGAAATATTTTGCCAGGAGAATGACATGATAATTTTTATTAAAAAATATTTGTAGTGGCATGGAGAATCTATTGGAAGGAGTCAGAGAAAATTAGTCTATTCAAACTCTATTTCATATAACAATGCAGGAAAAATTATTGTAATCCACACTGAGGTAACAAGAAGAAGAATGAAGAGTATAGGTGCAAAAATTATGATTAGTGTTAGTCTCAATAGAATTTGTTGCTTCTGGATATGAACAGTGAGATAAATGGGTGTTATGGATTTATGACTTACCAACTCAGCTATGAGCAAATTAGCAGCATATGGTACTGTTTCTGAGAAGAGAATACAGGGGAAGAAAAATTGTGAACTCAAATCAATTGAGTTTTTGCAGAAATACCATTTGACCCAGCCATCCTATAACTGGATATATCCCCAAAGGAATATAAATTATTCTAGTATAAAGACACATGCATGTGTATGTTCATTGCAACACTATTTACAATAGCAAAGACATAAAATCTACCTAAATGTCCATCAATGATAGACTGAATAAAAAAAATGTGGTACATATACACCAAGAAATACTATGCAGCCATAAAATAGAAAGAGATTATGTCCTTTGCAGGGACATGGATGGAGCTGGAGGTCATTATCCTTAGCAAAATAATGCAGGAACAGAAAACCAAATACCACATGTTCTTAATTAAAATTGGGAGCTAAATTATGAGAACACATGGATACCTAGAGGGGAACAACACACACCGAGACCTTTTGGAGGGTGAAGGGTGGAAGGAGGAAAATGATCAGGAAAAATAACCAATGGGCACTAGGATTAATATCTGGGTGATGAGATAGTCTGTACAGCAAACCCCTATGACACAAGTTTACCTATGTAACTAACCTGCACATGTACCCCTGAACTTAAAAGTCTAAAAAATAAATAAATAAAATTGAAATGCTTTTAAAACAACAAAAACACCACAATGATATTTATCAATGATAATAGCATATACAGGCCTTAAGGAAGAACTCAGATGGATACATATATTTTGGAAAGTCATCAAAATATAAACAATAATTGAAGTCAAGTTGTAAGGTCAAATTTCGAAGAATGAATATGGAGAGGGAAAAATTAAAAGACCTATCTCTAATGACAGACATTTTCTTTACAGAAAATTTTGAAAAGGCCTAGGAAAGAGTCTTTCAAATTTCTGAGAAGCATTCCTATGAATGACCTAAGTAAAGCAATAAAACCAATATTTTCTATTCATTGGAAATTTCTTCTCTGTGATACAATGCATCTGTTCTGTGATACAAAGATAACATGTATTATGAAGATATGGTGAATGACAAAAAACTTTATATATTACTAATATTAAATATTTCTTATTCTAAATGTAACTAGAAAATTTAAAACTAGTAACTAGTATATTAAAAGAAAGACCACAAACTTGAATGTATCTTCAGGAAACTAAAATGTCACCTAGCAGACTTGGATAAAAAATAGAAATTCAAGAAAAAAATATACAACTAGAAAAATGTAAAACTCAATGAACTAGTCAAAGAGCAAATTAAGAAGATTTAAAAAGATCTTCAATACAATAGATCTGTCAGAAAAAAAAATGCCATAAGAGCACAAGGAAACAGGAAAGATCAAGGATAGAATGAAAATGTCTGATAGGTGTTTGGGATTTCAGAGAGGGAGGAGAGAAAATGGGGCAAATGCCATATTTTAAAAGATAACTGGAAGATTCCAGAAGTGTCAAACGCCACCAATCCTCATATTCAACCAATCAAATAAATCTGAAACACAATCAATCTGAAACTGGACATGTAGACATTTGTCCAGTAATATAAAAACTAGTCAGGAAATTAAATGCAAAGAGAAAGTCTTAACAATTTATAGAGCAAAGGGAGAAATTAAGAACAGAAAATGGACAGTCTGAGAGGAGAGATGATTCTCAGCAGGGATAATGGAGGCAAGAAGGCTGTGTAATGTAAATCTGCATGCTGAGAGAATTGTCAATGTGAGAATCTACATATGGTAAAAATATTTGTAATGGAAACATAGTGCTACTATTAGGTCACTCTAAGGGAAGTGCAGCTCCAGCCCCAATCCCCTGGCTTCAGGGTCTCTTCCTGGGCTCTTCTCTAGTGTCTCCCTGACAAGTCTGAAAATCCATAGGGCCTTTGAGGTATGCCCATCAGTGCCCATGACCTATTGTCTCCTGTTATAGTCCATAGAGCTAGAATCCCAGAATTCTGTGCAGCAATAGGCTCAAGTCACTTTGAAAGACTCTACAGGAAACTTCAAGGTGTGCTTTTGCATGGGCTATAAAAATATTAAGGATGGGTATATAGAAGAGATTTTTCAGAGTCTGTCTAAAGCAGAACTTTACTAAATAATTCTAAAGGCAATTATTCATTTAGAAGGAAAACTAAAGATGGAATTTAAAAAATATTCAAATACTCAAAAAAGGAAAAGATAGAAACATAAAAATAAAACAAGAACAACCAATTGAAAGCAAAAATTAAAGCTATAAATAAAAGAAAACATCAGTAATCAGTTTAAATCTAAATGGTCTAAATGCTCCAGCTATATATGGTTTTCAAGAAACACATGTAAATATAAGAAACCAAAATGTTGAACTCCAAAGGAAAAACAAGAAGTATATTATGTATATTCTACTCAATAGAAATAAGTTGTGGCTCTGTTTATATAAGGCAAAAAAGAGTTTAAGGAAAAAAATTTATACTGTCTCTCTATATGAAAACTATATAATGATTAAAGCTTCAATTTACTAGAAATACATAACAATTTTAAATTAGCATGCCCCTGTGACTATAGCTTTATAATCTGTCTTTGAGTCAGGGTTCTCCAATTGCAAGTGACAGAAAGAATCTCTAACTTAAGTAGACAAGAAAATTTTTGGTAATATCTGTATTGATTAGCTCACAATGTTGAGAGAGAAGCAGGACTACTAGAGAATAGATGAGAATTCTAGACGTTAAGATCTGAAACTAGGATGTAATCAGGTTATAGTGCCACAGTGGGCATAGCTGGCACCCACAGTGCTGCTGGACACAGGTGTTGTGGCCATCAAATGCCCCCAAGACTTTCACTAAATTTGTCCTGGTGAACAAATTATATACTTCAGTATTTACCTTTGAATTACTTGTTTAATGTTAAGAGGTTCAGAATAGGAGCACTTTGTTGTGTCCCAGCTTTTAACCAGTTCAGGGAAGGAGTATCTAATCCCTTGGGCTTCCTGATTGGGAATAATGGAATATTGTGCCTTCCATTTGTGTTTTGTTTTATTAGGGGCAGAGTGGGAAGCTTCAAACATTTACGTAAATTCCTCAATTTTTTAAGTAACTATATAATTTTCCAAGTAACACATGACCACATAGAATGAGGTTTATTGTTATTTTTTTATCTCTTTTTTATTTTTATTATTATTATTTTTTCCAGACAGGGTTTTGCCCTATCATCTAGGCTGGAGTGCAGTGGGGCAATCTCGGCTCACTGCAACCTCTGCCTCCCAGGTTCAAGCAATTCTCCTGCCTCAGCCACTTGAGTAGCTGGGACCACAGGTGTATGGGACCACAGGTGTATACCACCACACCCAGATAATTTTTGTATTTTTAATAAAGACAGGGTTTTGCCATGTCGGCCAGACTGGTCTCGAACTCCTGGCCTCAAGTGACCCACCCACTTCCCAGAGTGCTGGGATTACAGACTTGAGCCATTGCACCCTGCCTTTTATCTTTTTATAGCACTGAAAATAGAGCCAAAGTGTTCTGTCAATTCCTTTCTGTGTCTAGCTACACACACCCACATATATATCTAGCTGGGTATTTAGTGAAACATAAATTAAATTAGAAACAAGAAATACTGAGATAAAATATTATCCTAGCAAATAACAGAATAATAACTTCCCTTAAAGCTATAGCCTAAGGTTCAAAGACTATTTGTTTTTATGGATATGATTACTCAGAGGGATTTTTACCATGCCTTTTCATGCTTAATTCTCAATGTAATTTCTGAATTATTGATTCATCTACAAGTTCCTAAAAACAAACTTAATAATTAAGCATATTAAATTCCATTTTCCAACAACGTATAACTTGTCTCACACCTTTTCTACCCCACTCCTCTCACAAATCATATAGCATTAAGATCTTTGTGTATGGAGCTCTGACTACCAGTAATCTCTTAGCCTAAACTGGTCATGAAGAAGCATCTGGCAATTTGACAGGGAGAGGCAAGTTGACAGCTTCTCATCAAATATCAAGCGTTACAGTGTTTCCAGTGCCAATCTGGATTTGACAGTTTATGAAGTATCTTAACACAGGCCTACACACAATAAAACAGGTAGCAGCTACAAAACTGATTTTGTCTTATTTAGTGCTGAAAAAAAATTCTGTTGCCCAGAAGGTAGAAATATTTTAAGAAAGCGACACTGCTCTACCACTGGGAGTATTGACAATACTAAAAATAAGACATTTTACTAGTTTAAAACATTGTACTTGGCCCAGGAGGAGAAAATAATGGTATTTAATAAGAAAATTAGATTGATGTGAAAACAGAATTCCTATCCACATGATTAGTTATCAACTTGAACAAAGTATATTTCATGTGTGTGTGTGCATGCACACAGACAAACAAATGTGGTCACTCAGGCATATGCACATACATACATAAACAATAAATATATTATAAAAGCATTGTTGAATTGTGCCTTGTAGATTATTTCTTTTATTCAAAAGTAAAACTTTAATATATATAATATATACTTTTTATAGTATATATATACATATATACACTTATTGTATATATATACTTATAGTATATATAGTATATACAGTATATACATATACATAGTATATACATACTTATAATATATATAGTATACACATATAGTGTATATATATATACACACATATACTTATATGTATATATATATCCTTTTTTTTGAGACAGAGTCTTGCTCTGTCATTTCATCTGGAGTGCAGTGGTGCAATCTTGGCTCACTGTAACCTCCGCCTCTCAGGTTCAAGGGATTCTTCTGCCTCAGCCTCCAGAGTAGCTGGGAATACAGGTGCATCCCACCACGCCTGGCTAATTTTTGTATTTTTAGTAGAGACGGGGTTTCACCATGTTGTCTAGGCAGGTCTCAAACTCCTGATCTCAGGTGATCTGCCCACCTCAGGCCCCCAAAGTGCTGGGCTTACAGTTGTGAGCCACCATGCCCTGCCTATCTACTATATTTAAGAATTAGAAATGATAATATATTATGATTTTAAAGAAAAACAAATAAATTCTTAACATATTGTAATTAGTGATAGAATCAATATATTTTCGCCCTGTTACCAGTCCGGTAAAAATGTTTTGACATTATTTAAATGTGATAAGCTGATGAAAATCATTAGATACATTGCAGATTTCAATATATCACCATCAGTATATTAGATTATATTAGGAAATAAAGAAAGCAATATCTTTTATTGTTTTCTAAATTTTAAATTAGTCAGCTTGTAAGACATTATGCAAAATTTAATATATTCTCTCTCAACATTGTGAGCTCATCAAAACCGATATTACCAAAAGTTTTCTTGTCTGCTTAAGTTAGAGATTCTTTCTGTCACTTGCAATTGGAGAACCCTGACTCAAAGAGAAATTATAAAGTTATAGTCACAGGGGCATGCTAATTTAAAATTGTTATGTATTCCTAGTAAATTGAAGCTTTAATCATTATGTAGTTTTCGTATAGAGAGCCAGTAAGAATTTTTCCCCTTAAAGCCTCTTTTGTCTTATATGAACAGAGCCACAACTATTTCTGTTGAGTAGAATATACATAATATACCTATTGTTTTTCCTTTCAGATTATGAAAATATCATCAGATTATTTATTAGCACAAAAAGAATGTGGGTAGCAATGTCTTAGCGTAGCAAATATAAAGTAACCACTCTTTTTTGTTAGAATGTTAGTAAACTTTGCATTATTACCATACTCAGTACCACATCTCTTTATTTATTGGATCCAGATGAGCATTTACAAATGAATGGCCCTCATATTTGACATGACAAGCAGAAGTAAGGAGAAATCATTATACTTTGATGAGATCCCAGTGACCAACCATGGCAGCTACTCAGGATTTTCCTGCCATTTTCAGCTGTCCTGCTGCAAGCTGAGACAGTGTATAGGATATTATGAAGATAATTGGGAATTGTGACCTTTTCCAAAGAAACTTTCAAAAACCATTTTATTCTGTTTTTCAGGCTGATGTCTTCTCTGTTTCTCTGACCTTTCAGTGACAGCCATCATGACCCCCACAGCCCCTGCTCTTTCCACATGTGTGTAAGTCCTAACTCCTTATTAAACTCTTTTGTCTCCTGTTACTTAGTGTGACTCTATTTACTTGACAATATCCATAAAGGTGACCTCACTAAAAGATGTAATGCACAGACTTTAATGACAAACACTGAAAATCTCTAACTGTTATGGGAATCAAGCAGCTATATAGCCTCTAAGTACTTGCAATCTGTGTGTGCAGTCTCAAGGCAGAGCTGACCCATTATCCTAATAAAAAACAATCAACAAAATTACAGCAAGCTACAGGGAATAATTTCTAGTGTTTTATAGCACTATAGGATTATGATTAGCAATAATATATAGTTTTAAATAATAGTTAGATATAGGATATTGAATATTCCCAATACAAATAAATGATAAATGTTTGTGATGATGGATGTTAATTACTCTAATCTGATCTCTATGCATTCTATGTATTGAAACATCACTATGTACTCCATAAAGTACTTTTATAAGTAAAACAAAACAGTTAACATTTCTTTAAAAAATGAAAGTTAAATAAACATAAAAAACAATTACTGAAAAGCAAACAACAAAAATGTTCCCCCTTCCTAATGATCTAAATTGTGTTCCTTGATAGCCCTCCTTAATATCCCTTCTTGGTAAATTTTGCTTTATCTTATATTGGAATACTTGAAGTAATATTGGTCTAAATGGCAGAAATCACATAGCTCTTATTGTGAATAACAAATCCAGGGCTGTATCCCCTACTCAGACAATGTGTTTTTCATGTGTTTTATTAATTTCTACTTATATCTAGTTTCAATCACTTTATCCAAGCAGAGAGGGAGTATCATTTTTTTGGCAAAGACAAAACTTTAAAAAATTATTACCAAAAAACCCTCTAGTGTCTTCTTTTTGGAAAAGCAAATAGGAGAGGTCTGTCTCAGATAAAATTTTAGTTTTTCTCCTTTGTGTTGCCCTCATTGAGGGCAAAGATCAAGCCTTGCCTGTCAACACGAACACCTTTTTCCTTCTCAACTACAGCGTACAGCACAGCACTTTGCACATAAATAGGTTTTCTCTAAATGTTTTTAATTAAAATAGTAAAGTTTAATTTCAAGTAAGGTGAAAAATGGGGAGATTAGACAGAGTGCCACACTGGGAGAACTAGAAAAACTATAGTCAGATTATACTTACTGCATAAATGTGCTAGGACCAGTCCATGGCATGGTAAGGATAAGAACAGAATGACAAAGATAATTTATGTTTAATATGAAACTTTAGCCTTCTATTCCATATATGTATATGATTACATATACATACATCTACATGGGAAATAGATAAGCCATTATAGTTTACCTTTTTGAACTTGTAAAAGTAAGTTTGTTCCATCAACTATGATGCTTGCAATAATTTTGTAAAGAGCTAGCCACTTTCATAGGCAAATGCAAACTACTCATATATCATTTCCTCTAAGAAACTTTTGATTCCAACTCAAATTTAATTACTCACTCCCGTTCTTGTGACCCCATTTTATATTACAGCAAATTTTATCACAGCTATTTTAACATTTTATTGTACTTACTATTTTTACTGAGCTGTTGTACTCTTGCACTGTGTGTGTGTTGGAGACATAAAGTAAGAATTAAAAATATCTACTTTGATATCAACTTGTATAGTCACTAGGAAATTATTTGTTGAATGAGCACCTATGACTAAGGGATGAGGACCACACTTTTCAGGATTCCATAAGAAAACTTTGCAAGTCTCTGGCCCTCAGCCCAGCAACTTTGCTGTTCAGATGACCACATGTGATAATAAGTTAAAAGGAAACTTTTTTTTTAAACCTGTCTAGACAGTGAACTCTACATCATTGTGACACTATAAGGAAGTGAAGTACTCAGCTCTAGGTGACAGCATCCCTGGCAGTGATGCTGGCATTTCAGGATTGCAATTGGCAGTGGTGAGGCTTCCACAGGCAACTGTGCAAAGCACGAATGGGCAAGTGGTGGCTGGAGTAGGAGAAGGAGACTAGGCTAATACACTGGGGGGACTGCAGTTCATAAATTTGAAGTGGGTTTGTACAAAGGACTCCTCTGAAATGCCCAGAAATAAGCACGAGATACTGTAGAAGGGAGAGTTGTGCTCACATCATTATGTAGGTCAGGGCTATCAAACCAAAAGTCATTGAGTAAAAGGATTGACAAGCAATTTTGAGGCCCCAGCTAAAATTGGAAACTATAAATCTGTCCCACTTGTCAGAGTTATGGGATTTTTCTCCAGGGAAGCTCAGCAGCCCAGAAGCTGGAAAATGTCTGTGATTAGATAGGTCTAGCTTGGAGTTGCGTTTCGAAGAAAGTAGAAGAAAGGCAGAAGAACAGGGGCCTTGAAAATAAGAATGACAAGAAATGGCCAAACATGATGATGGATTTCATCAAGAAAGTAAAGCCAAGAAGCATGATATGAAAAACATACATATGAGGGATTAAAAGACCAAAGTGTTTGTTATTAGAGAGAAGGACTTAGTATATAGTTCAGTTCACAGGATTGTAAATCCTGCTTGTGACCTCAGGAGTGATTTACTGAAGATAAATGATGAGAAATAAGTTACAGAAAATATTAAGAAATTCTGAGTGCAATAAAGTCACTCAAAAGTAATGGGAATTGTACAAATACAGAGAAAAAAATGAGCCATTTGTCACATTCTCCTTGAAATGTAAGACTACACCTGATATTTGGAAGATGTATTAATCAAAGCAGATAACAATTGCTATTCTTAAAATACCCAAATCTCATTCATTAACAACAAAAAAGCTCTTTTTTAAATTCACATCACAGTCCAAAAGAGTGTGTAGCAGATTGTGTTCAAGGTGATTTAGGTACTCCAGATCCTTCCACACTCTTGGCTTTTTGCAGGATTTGTCGCATTTGGCTGGGAGATGAGGGGAGAGACAGAGTGAGAAGGGTCAAGCAAGATGTTTTCGAGGCTAGTCCTAGGAGTAGTACAATTTAGGTCCATAAATTTCCCATTGGCTGGAACTCCAATGGCCCCACACAATTATCAGAAAGCTGGGAAATATAGGTTGGTTATGTGTGTTCAAAGGAGAAGCATGAATAATGGTAAACACGAGCATTCCTTGCTACACCAGGTGATTGTGAAAACATTTCTGCATGGTATGAACCTTCAAGAACATAATTTTACAATGAAGTATAAAAATGGCTATAATCTGGAAGGATAGTATAGATCTAGAAAAATCCTTGGCCAGATGAGTATTTGGTGAGAAAATAAGTTGCTTTCTGAGAACGTTGTCCCAGGAGCAAATATTATTCTAACTGAGGGGTCTAAGCACGGTCTTCAAAAACAATGTGAATATATTAAAACTTGATGTGTCACAGTGTCAAAAATGAGGTTTAGTGTTATGTGATTGAGGACACTCAGAAGAAGGGAAAGGCTAGATTAGGACCTGAAATTGAATAGCTGGAGGATTGGTTTTTCTCACAATTATTATTGGGTTGTATGGAAATAAGAAAAGGCATACTGACAGGGAAATAATAGAGATGTTGCATATGCAAAAGATTCAAAATACAACTTCAGTGAAATAAATTGTGAACATTACTGTTACCAGGTGGTCACTAATGAGTTCATCAACTCTTATGTAAACAAGGAGGTAAATAAATTCAAAAAGGCATCGTTGGCATTTGTGTGAAGGGATGTATTTCTATGACAGATGAGTAAAACCATACCTTGTTTACTTTTATTCAGCAAATATTTAGATATCACATGTATTAGTCTGTTTTCATTTTGCTGAAAAAGACATACCTGAGACTGGGCAATTTACAAAAGAAAGAGGTTTAATGGACTTACAGTTCCATGTGGCTGGGGAGGCCTCACAATTATGGTGGAAGGCAAGTAGGATCAAGTCACATCTTACATAGATGGCAGCAGGCAAAAAGAGAGACCTTGTGCAGGGAAACTCCCATTTTAAAACCATCAGATCTCATGAGACTCATTCATTATCATGAGAATAGTGCAGAAAAGACCTGCCCCCATAATTCAATCACCTCCCACTGGGTTCCTCCCATGGCACATGGGAATTGTGGGAGTTACAATTCATAATGAGATTTGGGTGGGGACACAGCCAAACTATATCATCATATATTGTGATAAATCTTCAGGTTTTTTTTTGTGTGTGTGTTTTTGTGTGTCTGTGTGTGTGTGTAAGGTTTTACTCTTTATTCTTTTCAAATAATTTTTTGGCATCTTGTAATATACTTAACACTGCTGGAGAAAAAAATATGTTTGCTTTCAGGGTACTTCAAATATGGTAAAGAGATAATCAGGGATATGCAGGTAAGTGCCACATGTGAAAAAAGTACACATATAAAGTATGCACATAAATATGACAGGAATAAGAGAAATATGACTTAAGTACATGCACACACACACACATGTTAGGGAGCTTGTTTGACTATCCAACAAATGTTTGTATAAGTTGTGGGGCAGAAAATAGGTAGAGAAAGAGAAGAGTAGTGAAATGTGACATGCTTTCCCAGTGGTAGTCATTCCACCAAAATAGAGAGTTTTGTGTAGCTGAAGAAGAGAAACCTGAGGAACTGGCAAATGACAACACTACAGAAGTTGGTATCTAACAGAACATGAAGTGCCTTTGGCTCCATGTTATAGTAATTGAGCTTATAGGAATTCACTGAAAAACTATAAACAGAAATAGCTTTACCAATAGACATTACAGGATGATCACCTCAGCTATTGTGTGAAGGGTGGATTTTGGGAAAACAAGAATGGGGATGAGATTTATTAGGAAGTTATTCCAATTGCTCAGGTAAAAACAGTATATCCTAAACTAGGGCAATGGCAGATGAGAATGAGAAAAAGGAATAGATATGAGATATTAAGAAAGTATATACATTCCCTTACGTGAATCCATGTGCCATATCTAACCAATGCTTGTGAACTTATCAGTTATTGCTGAGTTATAATTATGGATTTATTATGAATATGAATTACTCCTCTTTGATTACTCTAGTTCTTTTTTATAATAGCATTTTAGGTTAGATATTTGGGAAACATAATGTAGACAAAATGTATCTATTTTTGTCAGATGTTTGGCAAAGTTTCTCAAAAAATATTTTGTTTACAAGGTAGAAACCTGAAGCAGGTTTCATATAAGTGAGATAAATTAATACCTGCTATAACAACCATATCCAAAGCACATCAATCAAAACATCAATGTTAGTCTGTTGGGTTGTCTCTAGTGATGTTCCTTGACATTCAGACTTGACCCTATATTCATTAAATATTTCAAAGTACAAAAGGTATTCATCAACCTATGCTACCAAATGGAGCAAATGTTAGCATGGTTATAGAAGTAGAATTTTTAAAAAATTTGTTCAGCAGGAAACCTGATCCATGCTAAAATAATGGCACCTCGTATGGACAACTAGAAACTCCTACCTTATTCTGTTTGCACAGCAAACACAGTCAACCATCAATAAGTGACTTAGCTTAACTACAGTTCATGTGAATCAAAACAAAACAAAACAACTTAATACAAACCATCAGTATTTTATGGCTATGAAAAAAAAATGTCCCTTTAAATTCTGTACTCCTGTGAGAGCGTATCTGAAATGACTTTTCGTTCTTTTTGTTCTGGGCACCATATTTTAGAAGACACAGTAGCAAATGTTTTGTGTCTAGAAGGTAAACAGAGTGATGAAGGTAGGAAATGAATCTTACAAAGAAAACTCGAAAACATAGAATTATTTTCCCTTGTAAAAGTAAAGGAATAAATATTAGAAAGCCTTTCCAGTGACAGTCAGATTGGGCATAGGATATTTTAGGACAAGTGACTAAACATTATTTTAGAATAATTCATAACAAAAAAGTTTCTTACATGGATTGTTATCCAAAAATTGCGCTTCAGGATTTAGGTGGTATGTCACATTTATTCTTCATACTAGTTTCCCCCAAAAGGCATTATTCTTTTCCCGCTTTTATGGATGAATGACTTGATATACAGAAAGGTAATGTGATACACATAGTATGATGCTAATAAATGGTAACACCTTGATTTAAACCCACAAAGTCTGGGAAGATTGTCTTTAGGATCCTTGCCTTTAACCTGTGTTTGCTGCCACTCAAGTGAAAGGAGAAACTTCTTGTTAGTGGAACTACACAAATTGTAAATGAATAGCCCTGTGAGATGATTAGATATCCATCTCTAATCTAGCCACAAATAAAATTGATGCCCAACTGCAGGTGGATGTTTGAAAAATAACTTTGGCAATGAGTGAGATATTGGGACAGATAATGACCTGGATCATTTCACACTTCTTGTTCTTTGTTTTGCTTTCTGCTTCTATAATGCAGAATATTCATTACTATTTATTTTTTCTCTCTCTCTAGTTATTTTTTCTCTCTCAGACAATGCAGAGTAGAAATGAATTGTGACGGCCGGGCGCGGTGGCTCACGCCTGCAATCCCAGCATTTTGGGAGGCCGAGGCGGGTGGATCACGAGGCTAGGGGATCGAGACCATCCTGACTAACTCGATGAAACTCCGTCTCTACTAAAAATACAAAAAATTAGCCGGGCGTGGTGGCAGGCGCCTGTAGTCCCAGCTACTCGGGAGGCTGAGGCAGGAGAATGGTTTGAACCCGGGAGGCAGAGCTTGCAGTGAGCAGAGATCACGCCGCTGTACTCCAGCCTGGGCGACAGAGCGAAACTCCGTCTTAAAAAAAAAAAAAAAAAAGAATTGTGACATTTAACCACAGGTTTTTGATCATAGTTTGATAACTCTTACTAGTGTCCAAGCTTGTGTACTTGCAGATGCTTCTGCCTGAGAACCATGGCAAGCTGTGGCAGGTAATTAAATCATGTAAGTCCCCATGGCCAGGGTTAGAATTAGTAGAGATTAGAAAATAAAGTTTTGATAATTGTAGGGTCATTTCTTTTTCAGCTGAAAATTCTCCTTCATTAGCTATAGCCACTCTCTTCCTATTTAGATAAGCCTAATATTGAGTATACCTAGGAAGGGAGATGCAGATGCCACTAATTTTTCTCTGTATTCAAAGAAAAGCACATAGCTAAATTATACCCAATTTACTTAAACCAAAAAATAGTATGGATTGCATGACAATTTTTCATCAATATTTCTAACAAATTACTGAGCTACAATTGCCTTATTGTCTTTCCTCTTTTAGCTATTTATTTATCAATAATAATTTGTCTTTTGAAACTTCATTTGATTTTGTTCACTTCTACTTTGGTGTTCTTCAATTCACAGCTAGGCCTGGGCTTGTTATAGATTCACCTCAGGGCCAGGTGTGGTGGCTCATGCCTGTAATCCCAACAGTTGGGAAGCCGAGGATGGTAGATTACTTGAGCCCAGAAGTTCAAGACCAGCCTCGCTAATGTGGTGAAGCCCTGTTGCTACAAAAAGTACAAAAATTAGCTGGGCATGGTAGTGCACACCTGTAGTCCCAGCTACTTAGGAGGCTGAGGTGGGAGGATCGCTTGAGCCTGGGAGGTCGAGGCTGTATTGAGTCATGATCACCCAGCCTAGGTGACAGAGGGATAAATTGTCTCAAAAATAAATAAATAAATACATAAATAACATAGATTCACCTCAGACCACTGGTCGTTTTCTGTGTTATTGAATCACTAAGGGTTTCAATAGATGTTCCTAACAGAAAAAGGGAACATAGTTTTCATAATTTTTTTCTCTTTATTAACATTTTCCTTGAAAAGTCGTGAAATGCCTAAATTATTTCAAATACATTTTAAATCTTTATGAATTAAAATAAAAACATACATATATTTAATAATTCTTGATGATATGCAAAGACAAATGCCTTTATTTTTATAATTAATTAAATAATGCAGTTTTTAAACACAAAAATTAAAGAATAGTAATTATGTTTGGGCTCAAAAAATGAAATTAGACTATATAACATATTATAGTAATCAAATCCATATAGAATATTACCCCATGTTCTGTTTCTATTTTCTAAAACTGTCAGAAAAAATTACAGCTTGGAAAACAGAAAATTGTCTTGATACTACAAAAGTATCCTTGCAAAATTAAGAGTTTTTCCAAAAAGTCAATTTTTAACTAGTTGATAAATCATTTTATTAATGAAAAGTACTAAAAATTTTATAACCTCTAGAATAAAAGCAAGTAGATTCAGTTAAATTCATTTTGGTTCATATATATTGGGTATTTATCAACTTCACGTGAAAATACAAAAGTGTATTTAGTATAAAAATGCAAATTTCTTTTGTTAAAATATGGTTTAAAATAATTTAAGGATCAACTTGAGAGATTTATTTTAAAATAAGTTTATATTTTTGAATACAGTTTCAGATTCTTGTTCTTTGAAACAATATCTCTGCATGTTGTTTGCTGTGATGATGAGGGCCTCTGCTTTCTGTCAATGTTCCTCATCAGTGTCAGCCAACCTTCTTTGTACACACAAGGCAAGACAGTCAACTCACTATTCATGGTACCTGGTTTGCTCATTTCCACTCATACATGCCTGAAAACCTTCCTTCTGGTCCCAATTGTCGTCTGTTCCTAACTCACCTTTTTGAAAACTAAATGGCACTTGTTGATTTAGAAGTTTATAATATTATCTGATTCCTAAATATATCTATCTATTGGATTGGATTTCAACCTCGACTTTTTTTTTTTTGAGACAGAGTCTCAGTCACCCAGGCTGGAGTGCAGTGGTGGATTTTGGCTCACTGCAACCTCCACCTTCCCAGTTCAAGTGATTCTCCTGCCTCAGCCTCCCAAGTAGCCGGGATTACAAGCACCTGCTACCACACTCTGCTAATTTTTGTATTTTTAGTAGAGATGGGGTTTCATCATGTTGGCCAGGCTGATCTTGACCTCTGGACCTTAGGTGATCAGCCCACCTCAGCCTCCCAAAGTGCTGGGATTGCAGGTGTGAGCCGCCGTGCCTGGCCCAGCTCCTTGACTTTCTAACAGTTGGAAACAGACCTATTACTTTTATTTCTCCCAAAAATAATGGTAATTTTTAAAAAATATAATTTATCTCTATAGAGATACAGTCTGTAGTTTATATTTTCCTAATATTTCTTAGTGGCAGGAATTTTGAGAGCTCTTTATGTAGGTAGATTTTTTTAAGATTTGAATTGATTTTGTGGAAATATACAAGAAGTCCTCACTAATGTTTCTTTTTTTTTTTTCTTTTTCTTTTTTCTTCTTCTTTTTTTTTAAGACGGAGTCTGGCTCTGTCGCCCAGGCTGGAGTGCATGGTACGATCTCGGCTCACTGCAACCTCTGCCTCCTTGGTTCAAGCAATTCTCCTGCCTCAGCCTCCTGAGTCGCTGGGATTACAGGCACGTGATGCCACCTGCCTGGCTAATTTTTGTATTTCTAATAGAGATGGGGTTTTACCCTGTTGGCCAGGCTGATCTTGAACTCCTGACCTCAAATGATCAGCCTGCCTCGGCCTCTCAAAGTGCTGGGATTACAGGCCTGAGCCACTGCGCCCAGCCCTCACTAACAATCTTGGTATGTTCTTGGAAACTGTTACTCTAAGTGAAAGAAGATATAAACAAACCAAGTTTACCATAGGCTAATTGATATAAACAAGAGTTAATTCCTGTAGCGTATTCCTGGTCACAGAAACATCACCAAGCTTCTAAATAAAGATCAAACATTTTAAATATTAAACATTGGAATAAATATGAGTTATACATATATTTTAAAAAGATTAATGGAAACAAGTAAGATAATTATTTACCCAGTTGTTCCAATTTGAGGACATTGGTGGCTGGAGCCTATTACAGCATTCAGCGTGCAAGGTAGAAACCACTCCTAGACAGAAAGCCATTCCATGGCAGGATGCACACACACACACACACACACACACACACACACTCAGACTGAGACCATTTAGACACACCACTTAACCTAACATGCACATCTTTGGGCTGCAGTAGGAAACTGGAGTACCCAGAGTCTACCAATACTTAATGAAAAATATGTATATTGATTAAAACACTGGGAAAAAGAATTAGTAAACAACTTTCTCTTATCAAGGGCTTAGTAAACATTTAATAATTTTAATTATAGAAAAGTTATCAGTTATCTGTTGGCATGTAACAAACTAACCACAAACTTTGTGGCTTAAAATAATAAGATTTATTGAGTTAGGAGTGTAAAGGGTGTGTAGGTGGTTCTGGTAACCAGAGCCAGTCATAGCTAATGCCAGTTATATCTGCTGTCTACTGGCTAGTTGCGTTGGGACTGGCTGGTCGAAAACAACCTCTGCTGGGACAGAAGTTGGATCTATGTGGTCTCATTTTCTAAAAGACTAGATCTCATGCTAGTGAAAAGCTGCTGAGAGAGAGCAGAAGTGTGCAAAGTCTTAGAAAAAGTAGTGTCACACCTGGTACAATTTTACTTCCAATTAAACCTCTTAGTCAAACCACATGGCCAACGCACATTTAAAAGGTAAGGAAGTGCAGACCAATTTTTAATGAGAAAGTTGTAAAGTCACATCATAAAAAAGAGTGGATAACTGAATAGATGGCAAAGGAGGCCATTTTTTAACTTACCATAGTCCAACTGGCACCACTTTTTCATGTCCCTTCTCATATGCAAAATAGGCTCACCCCAACCCAACTCCTGTCCCCAGTCTGGCTCCAATGTCAGAATCTATTTATAGCAAATGTGAATGTGCCTCCTCAGATATGAATCTTCTTGATCCAGAGGCCTAGGAGCATAAGAAGTTACATAACTGCCACATTTTCAATATACAGTAGAGAAAGAAATAGTTCCATTAGAAAGAGGATAGATAGGAGGCACACAGCATTCACTTCTTCCTCTCAGTTCTGAAATCCTGCTGTGAAGGTATTCATAGATCCTCCCCTCTGCGGACAGTGCATGTTCCTTCAGTGGGACCCAGTTCTCCCTGGAGGAGCTCCCCAGTCCATATTACTCCACCGTTTTGTTGATCTCTGCAGATTCAACTGATCTCAGCTAGGCTTGCTCACTGTGAGTTGGCTGGTTTAAGATGCCTCGATTGGGATAATGTGGCTTAGTTTCATATGGTCTCCCATCACTCAGCCCAGGTTTGCTTACATTGATGTGGCAATGTCTTTTGAGGGTAAGACTACAAATTTGCATGCTATGTATAACTTCTACTTTCTACAGGTCAAAGCCAGTCACAAGGTGAGACCGGAATGAAATAGATAAACTACAAAGTACATTGTAAACCAAATACTAACAAGGAGGGGTAGAAAATCGATGTAATTTTAACCATCTCTATGGGTCAAAAAGTATAAGAAAACTACTACAACAGAGAGTAACACATATTTGGATTGTCATAAGCTTATAACAACTACTATTGTATTCTAATGTTCCAATTTTGGCTACAGCAGTTATTAATCTGAAAATATGAAATAAAATCAATTTAAATGTGCATTTTTGGTATTTTTCATGAGAAATATTTTTCAGAAATCAGTGGGTTTTAGAAACATAAATTTTAGTACAAGAGAAAGAATAATTTATAGATATGTAATAAAGGGAACTGAAAATAATTTTTATGGAATAAACTGATATTACTAATACCAATTTTGTACAAAATCTATGATAGATTTAACGTGTATAACAGTTATAAGACTCTATTCTATTTAAAATCCAATTTAAAGATAAATCTTGTATGCCTAAGAAGGAAATAAGTTGTAGTAGATAGTAAATTATAAGTATCTAGTGGTATACATAATGAGTTCTGTAGAGAATCAAAGGATGATTGTTTAACTAGGATGCATAATCAACAGAAATTTCTTGTCAGGTGAACAACATAAAACAAGTCTTAGAGAATACATGCATAACTCTTGGTCAGAGGCCAGTGAGAAATCTAGTTGAAGTATGAGGAAACTTCAGAAAAACAACAAAGACCAGCTGAAATTTAGATTAATCAAGAGTATGAGGCTTTAAAGGAAAGTTAGAATTGTTAGACATTAAGTTAACAGAATGTAAAATATTAGAAATTATGCAAGATAATTAAATAACACAAAAGATATTGTAAAAGAATCTAGCTGGGGCTAATTGTGTATTGAAATTAGAAGCTAGTCAGGCAGGGATATCAGAATGAAATTGTTGTCATAAATTTTATAGATGTTGGCATTGAATACTGAGATCAGTTTTGATGGTAAAATAGAGTGAATTTATTAAGGAACTATCATAAGCAGAGAATTAATAAGTAAATAATCAATATTACATCAGTAAAGTTATGCCTATGCCCATATGCCTCAATAAGAAGCCTTGTTTGAACTGAACATATCTGCTAAGATTGCAACGTGAGGGGAATGGTGCAGGTATTGCCTAACAAGGATAAAGGAACCAATAAAAAGACAGTACCACAGCCGCATTCACAAACAAAATTGATATCCTTGGGACATGAACATATTTGGCTGCATCCAAACTTAGCATGTCCGGAATATTCCTTGGTACAGCTGACAAAAATATGGCTAACAGTGGTTTCCACAAGAGATACTATCTGGTATTCCTTCTTTTCCCAAACCCACATAGAAATTCAGTTTCCCAGTTCTTGTGTGGAAATGGAAGTTATTTTATAACAGAATTTATTGTAGGAGGAGACATACCATTTATTATAAACATATTATTTTAAAAAATTTATCTCAAATGTTATTAAGTATTTAGAGTCAGGGACTTCTAGGTGCTGTGGACACAAAGATGACAATAACTTTGACATAAACTTATCACAGTTGTGACTGTACACTTACGCCAATGACCATTTGGGTGTTAAGAGAACAAAAATTAGGCGAGGGAGGTATTTCCTGTGCTTGGAGATGTGCAGATAAGTTTCTCAGGACAGGTAACTTTTAACTTTAGTTTTAAAGAAGGAGAAATTTCTCTAGAAAACTTAGGAAAACAATTCTGGGTGGAGAGAATACTGTACTAAATAGTCACTGGAGCAGGAAATATTTTTCTTATAAATAATACATGTGAACTATGTAGAAGACATGAGAATTGATCTAGTTTTAACTATCACAGCAGTCCTATGTTACCTAAAATATTTAGCTAAATATGATACTTGGAAATTATTGGGTGAATTGGTGAGGGATTGTGTACTTTGGGAGAGGGAACATAGGTTTTAGGTATGTGTCTGAAGAAAGAGAAGAAATAGATCACAACATTAAATCTATAGAAACAAATACAATGGAAATATTTTCCAGAGTTAGTCCTCAGAACGTATGCTCTTTATATGACCTATAATAAAGATAATGTGGAAATTATTATTTTATTTAATGTACATTTTTCTTGGTTAAAATCTATTTCTTGTATAAACAGTTTGGGTTAAATGAACTGCTTAGTCAACTGTAAAATGCCCTTGTGTAGTCATACTTCTTTTCATTTCAACTCTTTATATGAAAAAACTGTGTATTTGAAAGCTTCTTATAGAATTAACACTTCTATTTGGAGATTAAAAGAATGTTCAAACTAGAGTCTTGGGGAATACGATACACCTCCACACCTATCTCATGTTTTAAATTTAGAAACTCGTGACCCAGCAAATGGCAGCTATAAGAAACATCTATTCCAGGCCAGGCTCTGCGGCTTATGCCTGTAATCCCAGCACTTTGGGAGGCCGAAGTGAGCAAATCACAAGGTCAAGAGATTGAGACCATCCTGGCCAACATGGTGAAAACCTGTCTCTACTAAAAATACAAAAATTAGCTGGGCGTAGTGGTGCACACCTGTAGTCCCAGCTACTCAGGAGGCTGAGGCAGGAGAATCGCTTGAACCTGGGAGGCGGAGGTTGCAGTGAGTGGAGGTCGTGCCACTGCACTCCAGCCAGCCTGGCAACAGAGCGAGACTTCATCTTAAAAAAAAGAAAAAGAAAAGAAACATCTATTCCAAACCTAAATGTAATTGTAAATCAGAAACTTAAAAGTTTAAACTAATTATTAATAAAATTTATAAATTTGCTTTACTTTACAAAATTAAAGCAAGAATTATATCACTTTCTTTGTCTACATGATTTTAAAATCATGGAGTGATTGACGGAGTGGTTTCTAGCTAAATAAATTGATTTGACCAATAGTTCTGCATTGTAGTCATTTTAGAAGGTGCATGTGTCTAAGTACTGGATTACTGTAGATCAAAATAGGTTTAATCTCTAAATAAGAGTATCTGCCAACGTGCTAAAAGCACAATACAGAGTATCACCAACACTTTCATATGTTAAGAAAAAAATTAGCTACAGTAGTATTTATTATTTTATAAAATTTACCGATTTCCTCTATTCCCTTTCCTAAAAACATGATGTATTAAAATCATTGTGTCTACGTCACCACCCAAAGAAAGTAAATATTTACTTTTTTGAGCATCCTTTATTTTCATACTTTATTATTCCTAATCTAAAATCTAATATTCAGTCCTTACTTTGTAACAATCTGCACTGATAATTATAAATGCCTAATCTGTCCGATGTAATACAGGCCAAGCAAAAGATAAAACCAAATTGTGTTACATAAATGAAATGGATTCTGCATAAAATTACTCTACTGATATATAATCTTCTTTATTTTTCATGGCTCTCTTTAAATAAAAATATTTCCTAATTATGCCCTACCATTTTTCTACTTTAATATTTCCGTGTCATTAATGTATGCCTAAAAATGACAGGGAGGTTCTTGCAAATCTCATTAGTTTTTATATCATTGATATTCAATTTCACAAGATAACTTTCGTGTTTCAGACTGCATTCTTAATTTTATTTCCTCAGCTTACTTTAAATATCTAATCACTCATTTGGGCGAATAAATACTCACAGTTGGAATTCAGCTGCTCTTCAACTTTTGGTATATTTTCACAGTCTGTGGAAATTAGAGTAGAGTAAGGGTCATGTGGGTTTCTTAGAAGATTAATTGAAATATTTAGGGAAGAAGACTTTTTACATTAATATTTGGGCAAAGATAATAAAACAGTATAGTTCTGTGAATTATAAGCTGTATTTTAACGTGAATTATTCAGCGCCTATGCAGGCCAGACACTGTTGCTTGAATCAAGTTGAAAATTAATCATATTAATCAATTGTTAACTTTATGTAGTCACAAATATGGAGAGAGAAACCTTATTTTTCACAACATCGCTCGCATAAACATTCAAAAAAAATTAGTCAGTAATTTATTATGTGTCAGGCAAAGTGAAAACACTGGGAAATGCTACAAAGATAAATTATTCACAATGTCTTTACCTTGATAAATCACCGCATTATTGAATCTTGATTTTTTTCCCATGAGCATTTCTCTATACAGTAATAGTGCTAGGTGCTATCAAAATAAGGCAATGATTAATTCAGGATGGGAGAAAACACACTTATTATACGAGCCAACTTTGTGTAGCACAGATAATTTAAAATATCTGTGTTAAAAATCTCTGTGTCATGTATCAACCTATTGGCCTTTGTGTTACTCTGAACAAAGGCTTTGACAATTGAGTGTTCACTTAGACAACAATAGAGAAAACTAAAATTAACAGTAACAACAAACGTATAAGGAGTTTCCACAGTGGAACAGATCAATAGTTCATCTAGTTGGGTATATATATGCTTAGTACTTATTTCCAAAAAAACTGAGACCAGATATTTTAGAGAAAAGCGTAACACTAACATAATGTAACTTAATTTTCAATACTTTCCTATGGGGAAATTTTTTTTCTGCTAAAGATTATATAACATAGAACAACATACTCAAATCATGGTAAAATTATTATCATTCAGTCTGAACAATGAATAAAAATAGTTATTTAAATATATTTGTTTCTTTCAATTAACTTTTGAAGAATTATAAACTTTTAATTACTTTTGGTCATTAAATATGTGAATATACCTGATAAACTTTAAAACTTTGAGAAATAGGGAAATTATTTAATAGCAGACTTGTATATTTTTACTGAAGAATGAAACTAAAGCCTCTAGCCATATGCTCTACGGCTAAGTGATAGAATTATTCTGAACATTATTTTGTTCCTTTTTAAGTTATTTATGTATTCTTAACATTTTCTTAGCTAAGCACTTTTAAACCTCATAGTAAAATTTAAATATAATCCATATACTATATAAAACAGAATGACAATGTGTTCTTTTTTGTTTTCTTTCTAATAAATTAATAATGTCTAGAAGCTAGCAGAAGTTGGATTCTGGAAAAAAAATCAAAAAACTTTTCAATTCTCATATGGTTTTTGAGAGTGGAAATGGCATTAGCTTTCCAAAGCAATAGGCATTTGGTATAAATATAATCCAACCTGTATGTCTGAACGCCAGTATTTTAAGTGTGGCCTACCATGTAACAGCGTAAGTATGGATGTTTTCATAATAGCAGGCCATATCTCCCGTGTATCAGGACAGTGACTTCTTCTTGGGGCATACATGATAAATCCTAGTGAATTTCATAAGCTTGAGCGCTTTGTCTAAATATTGATGTAAAATAAGCTTGAGCCTACTGTCTAAATACTGATGTAAAATGACTTTCTTAATCAAATGTACTTTTTTTTTTTTTTGAGAGGTCTCACTCTGTCACCCAGGCTGGAGCGCAGGGGTGCAATCTCAGCTCACTACAACCTCTGCCTCCCGGGTTCAAGTGATTCTCCTGCCTCAGCCTTCCGAGTAGCTGGGATTACAGAGGTGAGCCACTGCGCTGTTCCCGGATGTATTTCTTAATCAAAATCAGTGTTGGCTAATATAATGATTTTTTAAAAGTTAAGTTTATGGATAGAGATTTAGGGAAAGCATTATTGCAGTGAGGAAAACATGTATTTAAGTGATGTGTGAGCAGCCATATGTAATAGATATATTCTCTAGCCTTCCTATCTACCCAGGCCTTTGGATACCTTCTTCTGTATTATAAAAAAGAAGTTTTGTCATATCATTTTACATGTAGGCCACTTTTGGGTTCAGGAATCATTTAATGAAACAATCAAAATAAACAAAAACAAAAACAAATGTACTAGTCCAAGCCTACTTAAAATACATTCTCCCCTCTTTCATTTGATTTCATTAAAATCTGATCCCTGTGCCAGCTTCACCAGTATAAATCAGCAAAATCTTGTAATCTTTTTGTTATATAACTTATTCCTCGGTTTGAAATGAATCCTCTGATTCTAGTAACTGGTAAAGTGCCATAAGGAAAGTTGGTATTACCTTGCAAAAAGCCTTTCTCTTGTGATGTCACAAGAAGATCCTGATGAAACAGAGGGCCAAGCTCACATAACAGGAAGACACTGATTCTGCCCCCCAGGAGCGTCATACTCTGCCAATCAATGCTCTTAGCTTCCCATAATTTTATCATGGCTATGAATTTGAATTTGATCTATTTTGTAGCACAGCAGCCCAGGAAATGAAATTCTATATCTAATTTGGTACGCCAGCTATGTGACTTTAAGTGACCTTTTTTAAAGGCAGACATAAGTCTTCATGCTCTGAGCCAGGCATTTTAAGTCCTAAGCAGGTGCTTTCTTTTTTCAGAGCTCTATGGCAGTTAAAGAAGCCATTTAATCCTACAATACTTTTATTTTGTGATGGTTGTCTCCATTTAGTGTACTTTAGCCTGCCATAAAAGAGATTTTATTTATAACAAACACAGGTAATGATATAAATAATATTTGTACTGTGTATTATATACAACCTGAGTCTCACGTTTTAACACTAACTACATAGCTTCATCACTTTCAAACACTATATGATTGGATAAACTCTAATTTCTGACAAAAGGGCCTAGAAGGTCCATAGACTCAAATTGCTACTAATAGCAGATAGTATAGCAAATGACAATTGGCAGCAGATAACAAAAAATTCTAGCTATTTTAAAGAGAAGTAATTTGTAGAAGATAATTGTTTATTTGGGAAAATCAGGAAGGCACTGGCTTAAGGGTTAACACCAGAAAGGCAGCAGCTGTGGCACAGAGACTAGGGAGTTTCCTTGAAAAACCCTGCTTCCAATTTTATGAAAGAATTCTGATGTTTAGAGTTTTGAATAATATCCTCTGAAAGTCATAATCATAAATTTATTTTTTTCACCAGCACTTTACAACAGATTTGTAGCTTGTGGAGTAAGATTAGAGAATGTGTGCGTATGTGTGTATGTGTATGCATATCCATTTTTAAAATAATAGAATTTCAAATTTATAGAAACTCAGACAGAAGTTGTGAAATAAAACACTTGACTATAAATCCATAAATAGCTATGAGGTAAAAATTGAGTAAAATATACTATTTTATATCTTGGGAAAATAAATCATTGCCATAACCTAGGGAAAAACACATCTAAACAAAAATGACCAGTACTATAAATACCTAAATCCAAATTAAATGATATTGTGTCAAAGATACATAGGATGGACATTGATCAGAATATTATAGCAAAAACCATGAAAAACCTTTAAATATTGAGACAAGTTTAAATCTTAGTATTATTTTAGAAGTTCTAACTTCTCTTGATGTCAGTAAGATATTATGCAGCAATAATTCATTCAAAAGGAATCCAATCTTACAATATTCTAAGAGGAAAGAAAGGAGCCAAACTATTAGAATCGTACACTGCCATTAATTGTTATATATCTTTAATCATATAGTGCTAATCTCAGATTATTTATTGCATTATGAAAATTAATAAAGGAGAGAGAGGCAAATGAGGAAGAGGAAAAAAGGAGGACAAGGAGAAGCAGGAAGAGAGGGGCAGAAATGGAACAGGGAATTAAAATAACAGAAAGAAAAGAAGAATGATAAAGAGAGATTAATGTGCCCCTCTTACCCTATTCATTTCAGTTGACAATTAGAAGAGGGTACACTTTGACAGTAGAACACATTTTTTATCTGACTATTTGAAACACAATCTTTCTTTTATTAAATGTGTGGAGCTAGTCATTTTCTATCTCTCACGTGGGTTATAATTATGAGTTTGTGTTTATTTTTTTTTTTTCATTGGCATCCAGAACAACCTGGCTTGTCCAGGGAAGGTTTTCAGTTTGCCGTTACCAGGATCTGAAAGTTTCACTTAATCTAGACTGATTTAATTTGAATTTCTTTTCCAAAATTATGTTGGTAGCAGTAGTTGGTTGATTAGTGACTCCAAAAATACATGTCCAAGTCCTAATTCCCAGAACCTGTGATTGTGACCTTATTTGAAAATAGCATATATGCAGATAGGATTAAGGATCTCAAGATGAAATTATTTGGATTTAGTGTGGGTTCTAAATTAAATGACCTGTGTGTTCATAAAACACAGATTTCAGATATAGAGACACTAAGAGGAGAATCTGATGTGAAGATGAAGATAGAGACTATAGGGATACATCTACAAGCCAAGCATTCTTGGGAAACCACCAGAATCTGAGAGAAAATCATGGAACAATTTTTTTTTTTTTTTCTCAGAGCTTACAGAAGAAACAAACTCTACCAACACTTGATTTTGAATTTCTGGTCTCCAGAACCATGTGAGAATAGATTTCTGTTGTTGTAAGCCCCTAATTTGTGGTATTGTGTCATGGCAGCCCTAGGAAACTTATGTAGCAGTATTATTTACAATGCTAGAAAATACATATGAAACAAGACTAAAGTCCAGACATTTCCTTGGTGGCTTTTCATTTATCCACAAGTTATCTGTAGCTTTACAGTGATGAGCCTTAGTGTCTATCTCATGTCCGTGTGGTCATTAAAACTGATCTCCAAGGCTTATATTTGATTCCTATAATCATTTGTGTCCTCCTACCTCAGTTCTCATTGATGACCTTGGCTTTTCTGAGTGCTATTTTGCTTCTGAAGGTGATAAATTTTCTTATTTTAAAGCTGAACAACGAGGTTTTTAAAAGTTGCACTTAAAAAATATGTATCTGTGCATATATAATGTACGTGTATATATATGAGACATATAACATATAGCACATACCTATAGACATTATATGCAGAGAGGGAAAGAAACACAGGTGTGTGTGTGTGTGTGTGTGTGTGTGTGTGTTGAGATCTTTTCACATTGGCTTTGTTTATCATGCTGAGAAGTTTTTAAAACTGTAATTAAATAACAAATATGCATATTTTATGGATAAAAACTGGATAGGTTTCCAAAGTTTCTTTTACTTAGCCAAATGTAACTGTGGTTCCATGTAAGTATTTTACAATTACATAAAATTTGAGAATGACTAGTCTTAGGAGTGTCTGAAATACCATTCATTTTGTAGTAGTTGCAGAATAGGTTAAGAATTTTGACTATTTTGACCATGTTAATATATCAGAAGGATTACTATTAAAATGTTCATAGTAGCCAAAGCATCCACTGATTCAATCCAATTCCTATCAAATCCCAATAGCATTCTTTTTTTTTTTTTTTTTTTTTTTTTTTTTTGCAGATTAAGGGGAAAATCCTAAAATTCACATGAAATTTGAAGGGATCTTGAATAGCCAAAACAATCTTTAAGGAAAGAAAACCAAGTTTAAAAATCTCACAATTCCTTATTCCAAAGCATATTACAAAGCTGTAGTAATAAAAACAGTGTGGTACTGGCATAAAAAGCAGACATATAGAGAAATGAAAGAGAATAGCAGGCATAAACTCTTTTATATATGGACAAAGGATCTTCAATAAGGGTTGAATATGCTAAGACCACACAATAGGGAAAAGGCATTCTCTTGAACAAATAGTGTTGGGAATTCTGGATATCCACATACAAAATAATGAAATTAGATCCTTACACCATGCAAAAATTAACTAAAAGTGAATTAAAGACCTAAACATAAGACCAAACTATAAAATCCCAAGAAGAAAACAGAGAAGAAAAACTTCATAACATTGGATTTAGCAATATTTTTTAAGTATTGTACCAAAAGCACAGGTAACATACAAAAATAGATAAATGGGACTGCACCAAATTTTAAAAAATCTTCTTTGCTCAAAGGAAACAATCATCAGAGTGAAAAGGCAACATATGGAATTGGAGAAAATATTTGCTAATCGTGCATTTGATAAGGTCCTGATATATAGAATATATTAAAAAATTTCTACAACTCAACAATAAAAAACAAATAACCCTATTAAAAATAGACAGGGTTGAATAGACATTTTCTTAAAGACAATATACAAATAGCGAACAAGCATATGAAAATATGCTCAACATCACTAATCATTAGAAAAATGCAAAACAAAACCACAAAGAAATATCACCTTACACCTATTAGGATGGCCATTATTCAGAAAAACCCAGAAAATAACAAGTGTTGGATATGATATGGAGAAATTGGAACCCTTTGCACTGGTGGTAGAAACGTAAAATGATGCAGCTGCTATGGAAAACAGTATAAAGCTTCCTCAAAAAATTAAAAATGTAACTACCATATGATCCAACAATCTCATTTCTGGGTATGTATCTAAAATAATTGAAGGCAGGGCCTTAAAATATATTTGTACACTCATGCCCATAGTGGTACTATTCACAAAACCAAAAGGTGACAACAACCCTGGTGCAGCAATGTGTGAGAAAATATTTTAAATGGTCCATTTTCAAGGCATGATAAGTCTAGGTACTGGCATCCAGCCTGCAAATGTAACAAACTGCACGGCTCATGCACCTAGAAGGTCACGATAAACCAACAGAATGTAAAGGAGGGATCAGCCCATAAAAGGAAAGCAAATTTCGTTATTGGGAAATGAAAACAAGCGGGGAAGGGGACCAGGTTATAACCTTATAAGGAGGATAATAAAACTTAGGCAATGCCCCGGAATATTGTAACCCCATAGCACTCGACCAGTGAGAAACTGGGGGAGGGACTTGCCTGCCAGGAGATAAATTACCTGTTGTAACTGTTCCGGGTTTACCTGCCTACCAGACAAACGATCTTGCAAGACCGCTTTCGCCCTTCTTCATGCTTCTAAGTCCATTCTTTGGGTTTGGACGGGTGAGCGTGTTTCTCACACGTGGGTTAATGAGTGAAGAAAATGTGGTATGTACACACAGTGGAATAGTATTCAGTCTTAAACAACAAATGAAATTCTGCCAGAAGCTAAAACATGGAGGCACCTTGAGAATCTTACGTTAAATTAAAAAATCCAAACCAGGCTTGGTGGCTCACGCCTGTAATCCAGGCACTTTGGGAGGCTGAGGCAGGTGGATCACTAGGTCAGGAGTTTGAGACCAGCTTGGCCAACAGAGTGAAACCCCGTCTGTACTAAAAATACAAAAAAAAAAAAAAAAAATTAGCCGGGCATGGAGGTACCCACCCGTAGTCCCAGCTACTCAAGAGGCTGAGGCAGGAGAATCGCTTGAACCCGGGAGGGAGGCAGAGGTTGCAGTGAGCCAAGGTTTCACCACTGCACTCCAGCCTGGGTGACAGTGCAAGACTCCATCTCAAAAAAAAAAAAATACAGTAACAAAAAAAGACAAATATTGTATGATTCCACTTATATGAAGTATCTTAAGTAGTCAAATTCATACAGACAGTAAGTAGAATGAAGGTTTCCATATGGGGGAGGGAGGTGAGAATTGTTGTTCAATTGATATAGAGTTTCAGTTTTGCAAGTTGAGAAAATTCTGGAAATTTGTTGTAGATGTATGTGAATGTAGCTAACATAAGTATGTGGCACACTTAGAAATGGTTAAGATGGTAAATATTACATATATGTTTTTACTGCAATTAATAATCAATCTCAAAGTCCTATCAGACCTTAATAACAGGGCAAGAAAAATAAATTTTGGATACCTTGGATAACATATTGATTAGTGAATTCCACCTCAAATATGTAATTGGTACATGTCACTAGATATTCTAAAGAAAATAAAGAAGTGCATAAAGAGTATGTGAAAAAGTGAAATAATATGAAACAGGTTCATTTGAAAATCTTAAATTTCTTATGCCAGTATGTGGCTCTTCACTGTGTGTAGAGGCAGAAGCCGCTTACTCTGCAGCATCTGATGCGATGTTTTATATTACACATAGCCATCCTCTGCTGTGTTCAGCCTTCCTCCCTTGATGTGCGCCAACATCACCACCCCTAGCAAGCTCTCTAGAACTGTGCCCAACCAGCCTGTCTCTAAGCCACAGCACTTTGTAGCACAACCAAGCTTATCTTTTATGCACACTGGCCATATGTGTTGGGCAGCATGCCTAAAATATGTCATAGTTTTGTTTCCTTTCAGATGTAACACAGAAACATAATATATCCTTTTCATTAAAACATCACTCTTGATACGCTGTGTATCTCTTCTCATCCTACCTTGTAACACTTATCTCCTATAATAACGAGGAACCTCTGATAATATCTCCCTTAGTTCTAATGGTCATGTGTGGTGCCATCTCTGATGCCAGCTTGTGTGAGTGCTGAGATACTGACTAGAATTCCCAGTGTTTTTTAAAATTAGGGACAGAAAACATTCAAGGGGGCATTTCAAATGTCAGGGTCTATTGGTGTAGACTCTGAACCTATGAACAAGAATAACTCTTGTCTTCTTCAGGTCAGGATGAACAGTGATAACCTGATCTTTGAAAGTTCTGGAATGTGCATTTCTTGTAATTTGCTGGCTTTGCTGGCAAAGTGTTCTGCTAGCATGTGATGCACAGCATTTATGTTAGAAACCATTTCTTAAATATCTGTGACAACTAGTGCTTTAGAAGTGCTTTTAAGGATTGCTATAAAGGTCAGGAAAGTTTTGAGTAAAATACTTTATTATTATATCAAAAAAGTAACACTGCAGCATATTATTTAGGACATCTCAAGTAACATTGTTTTAATATCAACATTGTCATTATCAAAAGATAACTCTGTTTTTGAAATTTATTTATGGTACTGCTGAGAACTTCATAAACCAGATGTCCACTATTTTATTGTCAATGAGAAATCACACTCTATGTGCTTGAGTTCTATACATCGGCCAGGACATAGCATATTTATTTTTCCATGCTCTCTATTTTGCCTACTTCAGGCTGGATTGAACATTTCATAATGTATCTATCCTAGGAAGAAGGACAACTGACATCAGACTGTTCAATATGCCTCAAGGGAGCCATTCTAAACAACCTTGGTTTAAAAGTTGAGGACGTGTTTAATTATTAAACAGTAGCTTTTGAGAACAGGTTTCTATTTACTAATGCCCAAGTTGGCTTTTATCAGGATCCTAACCTCAACAGCAAAATGTAATACTGGTAGCAGGAAAAAAAGGCCAAGAACTAGCAACAAAGAATGCTGTCATGGTCACCAGTATGACTTGTGGGGTTCAATGTGAAATTAAAACTTGGAAAACCTATTTCAAAATGCACGAAAAGGTTGTTTTTAAAAGAACTAACATATACAATTTCTCCTTTTTTCCCTGAAGTTTCTTTCCAATTTCTTACGGCATTTTTATTTGCTATTTTATGTCAGGCTAAACAAAGATACATTAATACTTTAAGTTATTAATATGAATGTCAAGGCTGGGCACGGTGTCTCATGCCTGTAATCCTAGTACTTTGGGAGGCCGAGATAGGTGGATCACCTGAGGTAAGGAGTTCGAGACCAGCCTCACCAACATGGTGAAACTCTGTCTCTACTAAAAATACAAAATTAGCCGGGCGTGGTGGCGGGCACCTGTAATCCCAGCTACTTGGGAGGCTGAGGCAGGAGAATCACTTGAATCCAGGAGGTAGAGGTTGCAGTGAGCTGAGATCGTGCCATTGCACTCTAGCCTGGGAAACAAGAGTGAAACTCCGTCTCAAAATAAATAAATAAATAAATAAATAAATAAATAAATAAATAAATAAAAGAATGTCATTGTTTTTCATTATATTGTATAATACCAGTTTTAAATGCAAATATAAAAACATTTAATTCATATGCAGAAATTACACAATGTGTATTTCATAGCTTGTATATGGATATGCATTTCATTCTTACCAGAACAGTGGAAATGCTAAACAAAACTGTGTGTTTATTTTACTTTTTTGTACATGCACAGTCAACCAACACCCCCTACCTTTGATTTGCAGTTGGTTGACTATGCATGTAAAAGAAGTACATGTAAGGAGGAAATGAAAGAAAAAGGAAATATGGGTTGCTCTATCTTTCTCTTTCCTTCTATGCCATCATTTTCAGGGTAAGTGCTTGATTAATAAAGGGAAATAATATGAGTAAGAAAAGATATCGTATGGTTCTTTGGTTGCTGGGGCTTCTTAGAGCCTCATTGCCTTCTTTATGCATTCAAAGCAAGTTCTGTTTCAGATGGAAAGCATGGCTAGCCTCTAATTGTTGTCAGTACTCATGCTTACCCAGTCATAGACCTCACACAGTTACTTTGTACTCTTTTTATAAGTCTTGCTCAATTTTTATGGATCACAAGTCCACCAGAATTCTGTGCTCATGAGGCCTCCCAAGCACATGTAAAATGAGATGACAAGAAATGCCAGACACACACACTGAGTGTATCTCCCCTCTTTACACGCTTTCTTCATTGTCTCATCAGACATCACTTACAAAAGTACTGAGACAAAATTATTTAGAATTTTAAGACAGTAAAGGCAAAGCATTAAACCAGGTATGACACCCTTCTCTTTGCAGGGTCCTCTGTCCTTGTATTGGTCATATACCCATAAATCCAGCCCTGAATGCTGTACTTATACAAAACGACTCCAGAGTAATTCTATGTTGAAATTGGTGCAGCATATGATTTTGGCAATAAAAATCACTGATACTCATTGTTAATACCTCATACATACAAGTCAGGGAAGCCTGAGCAGACCACGAGCCATTGTTATGAAATAATATAAATTAAGCCCCTGGCCCTGTTTCTGGAAGCAATGGGCATCAAAAATTAATTCTTTTAGTACTTTTATTGTTTAATCAAATAATTTCTTGCCATGTATAATTTTCATTCCTTTTAGCTTTATATTATTGTATATTTTAGAAAATATCTCCTGTTAAGTAACAAAATACTAAAGAAATGACATGGCACAAACATTAACAATCAATCAGTCAACTTTTTGTTACAGAAAAAATGTATAGTATTTCTGATACAATGATAGACTTTTTTTCTTTTGAGTACAGAATACTACCACTTTCTATTTTTTTTGAATTCCAACTTATGTTGGCATTCGAAAAAAACTTATGTCCTGAGGTCTTTCCAGCCATGACAAACTGTGAGTCAATTAAACCTTTTTTGTTTATAATTACCCAGTCTCAGGTAGTAGTCTTTATAGTTTTCTTTACTTTTTCCTTTCTTTCTGGATGAATCCTGGCTTCAGAGGAAGGTTACAAGGTGTCATTGGAAGAAACCTCTAGAATTATACCATCCTCCACATCCTTGACGGCATCTTCCAGGGATGTAGCAAGTACAAACCAGCCTTTGGGAGTGTTTAGATCTCCACTCCTGATGTATATGCTATGTGTCAATGTCCTTAGTTAGGAGATCTCAATGTTCTGGGCTCTTCTTTTTCATAGCCCAGGACTTCTAGGTCCATTGGTCTGTGTAGTTTATCCAAGTCTTTTTCTCCTACCGAGGCATATAAAACATCTAAATTTCCTGCAGACCATAACCAGTTCATGAGAAAAAGGAAGCATTATCCTGGTATTTCTCTTTGTCTAACTAAGCCATTCTACCTTTTTACTGTTCTACAAGCACTACACTTTGGCACTGAAGTTTTTTTCAAAGTTCCAAATAGAAATCAAGTGCTTTCTGATTGGGATTCTCCTGAAGGCTATCATGTAACCCTAATCTGGGCCAACATTGTGAGGAGTGGTTATAAGGAACTCACTTAAATAGAAGGATCTTACGTGATTTAGAAATCCCACTAGTGGGCAAATATCCAAAGAAAATTAAATCAGAATGTCAAAGGAATATCTACACTCCCATGTTCATGGCAGCATTATTCACAATAGCCAGGATATAGATTAAAGCTAAACGTCCATCAATCTTTGAATGAATAAAGAACATTTGTTACACATACAAGGAAATACTATTCAGCCATAAAAAGAACAAAATCTTGACATTTGCAGCAACATGGATGAACCTGGATTATGTTATGTTAAGTGAAATAAGCTAGGCACAGAAAGACAAAGACCACATGATCTCACCCATATGTGGAATCTAGAACAAGCTGATCTTTTTTTTATTATTATTATACTTTAAGTTTTAGGGTACATGTGCACAATGTGCAGGTTAGTTACATATGTATACATGTGCCATGTTGGTGAGCTGCACCCATTAACTCATCATTTAGCATTAGGTATACCTCCTAATGCTATCCCTCCCCCCTCCCCCCACCCCACAACAGTCCCCAGAGTGTGATGTTCCCCTTCCTGTGTCCATGTGTTCTCATTGTTCAATTCCCATCTATGAGTGAGAACATGCGATGTTTGGTTTTTTGTCCTTGTGATAGTTTACTGAGAATGATGATTTCCAATTTCATCCATGTCCCTACAAAGGACATGAACTCATCATTTTTTTATGGCTGCATAGTATTCCATGGTGTATATGTGCCATATTTTCTTAATCCAATCTATCATTGTTGGACATTTGGGTTGGTTCCAAGTCTTTGCTATTGTGAATAGTGCCTCAATAAACGTACGTGTGCATGTGTCTTTATAGCAGCATGATTTATAGTCCTTTGGGTATATACCCAGTAATGGGATGGCTGGGTCAAATGGTACTTCTAGTTCTAGATCCCTGAGGAATCGCCACACTGACTTCCACAATGGTTGAACTAGTTTACAGTCCCACCAACAGTGTAAAAGTGTTCCTATTTCTCCACATCCTCTCCAGCACCTGTTGTTTCCTGACTTTTTAATGATTGTCATTCTAACTGGTGTGAGATGGTATCTCATTGTGGTTTTGATTTGCATTTGTCTGATGGCCAGTGATGATGAGCATTTTTTCATGTGTTTTTTGGCTACATAAATGTCTTCTTTTGAGAAGTGTCTGTTCATATCCTTTGCCCACTTTGTGATGGGGTTGTTTGTTTTTTTCTTGTAAATGTGTTTGAGTTCATTGTAGATTCTGGATATTAGCCCTTTGTCAGATGAGTAGGTTGCGAAAATTTTCTCCCATTTTGTAGGTTGCCTGTTCACTCTGATGGTAGTTTCTTTTGCCGTGCAGAAGCTCTTTAGTTTAATGAGATCCCATTTGTCAATTTTGGCTTTTGTTGCCACTGCTTTTGGTGTTTTAGACATGAAGTCCTTGCCCATGCCTATGTCCTGAATGGTAATGCCTAGGTTTTCTTCTAGGGTTTTTATGGTTTTTGGTCTAACGTTTAAGTCTTTAATCCATCGTGAATTAATTTTTGTATAAGGTGTAAGGAAGGGATCCAGTTTCAGCTTTCTCCATATGGCTAGCCAGTTTTCCCAGCACCATTTATTAAATAGGGAATCCTTTCCCCATTGCTTGTTTTTCTCAGGTTTGTCAAAGATCAGATAGTTGCAGATATGCGGCGTTATTTCTGAGGGCTCTGTTCTGTTCCATTGATCTATATCTTTGTTTTGGTACCAGTACCATGCTGTTTTGGTTACTGTAGCCTTGTAGTATAGTTTGAAGTCAGGTAGCGTGATGCCTCCAGCTTTGTTCTTTTAGCTTAGGATTGACTACTTTAAAGTTCATATGGAACCAAAAAAGAACAAGTTGATCTTACAAAAGTAGATGGGAGAATAGTGGTCACCAGAGACTAGGAAGTGGAGATGAGGAAGGGGAAAAGTTAAACGAGTGCAAAGTTATATTAAGGAGGAATAAATTCTAGTGCTGCATTGCATATTAGAGTTATTATAGTTAACAATAGTACATTGTGTATTTCAAAATATCTGGAAGACAAGATTTTTGATATTCTCACCAAAAATAAATGATAAGTGTTTCAGGTGATGGATATACTAATTACCCTAATTTGAACATTACACCTTGTATTTGGGCATTGAAACACTGCATTGTACCCCATAGATATAATTCTTGTATGTAAATTAAAAATAAAAGCAAAGAAACAAAAAACAAATGAAAGTATCTTTTCTCTAGTTTTATTCTAGCCAAATTTCTGAAATTTCACTAATCAAAGAGAAATAACTTTATTTCCTTATACAAAAAAGTCTCCAGGGAATATCAATTATTTACTCAATTGTATGGCATTTAGAAAAAAAAAACTTGGAGTTCAAGAAAAAAGCCTTTTCCGCTTACGTGGTCTCAGGGGGATGGTTCTTGCTATGTAAAACCATACTTTTGTGCCAAGTTGTTAAACCATGCTTTTTAAAACAATCTAATTTGAAAGACAAATATATACACCATTTTTATTTCTTTTCTGAGTTCTACCAGTCCTATGAAGAATTTGATGTATTTGGTGGAATGTTCTAAGAAAGGAAATATAATTAACTCCATTTTCATGTGTAAATTAATTATACCTTTTGAGCCTTTACAAAGATGGCCTTAAAATTCCTTCAACTTGACTAAACTTTAGACAGATTTCATTCTAACTATAGGCCCCTGACTGCCCTTTTTTAGAGCATTTATTTTCTGAAATCTTGAAATTATAAATTCTATCCCTGCCACTTTAAGGTGGGCCCAAACCTTTTTCACTTTTCTTCCTAGTTTTATGACCCAGAAATGTCTTTATCCAGATGAAATATAAATATTTGAGAAAACTGCACTTCTATCTACTAATCCTTAGGGAGGATAGGAAGCTAACTTTAATAGGCATTAATTAACAAACATGAATGGCTTTGATATGGTTTGGCTCTGTGTCCCTACCCAAATCTCATCTGGAATTGTAATTCCCAGGTGTTGAGGGAGGGACCTGGTGGGAAGTGACTGGGGTTTCCCCCATGCTTTTCTCGTGATAGTGAGTGAATTCTTACGAGATCTGATGGTTTTATAAGTGGAAGTTTCTCCTGCTCTCTTTTTTTTCCCCTGCCACCATGCTTCCCCTTAGCCTTCCATCATGATCATAAACTTTCTGAGGCCTCTCTAGCCATGACGAACCGTGAGTCAATTAAAACTTTTTTGTTTATAATTATCCAGTCTCAGGTAGTATTCTTTATAGCAGTGTGAGAAAAAACTAACACAGGCTTCATCACAGAGAAAACAATTTGCAGACTCAGAAGTAACTCAGTGTGCTCACATTTCATTGATCAACCTCTCCCCTAACGTCCTCCATTACTCTTCTACTAGCTCACTTTGTCTTTTTTCTTAGTAGAGTATGGTCCAATCTCCCTTGTATAAAAAATAGTTTTGAATAGTTTTGAATAAAGTCTTCCTTATCCATTTGTTTGGCACATCGTTTGCTTTATCAGTGTTCCAGAAAAGCCTACAGATCTCTTAAATGAAGAGCATGAGTTCCCAGTTATCTTTTTTGTTCAAAAGCACCAACTATCACCGAATTTCAAAGTTGAATATAGAAAAGCCCCTGATGTATTGAAAAAAATGGCAACTGTGAAACTACATGATCTTATTTTCCTGCAGCTCTTCTTCCCTACCTCTTTAGATAAAATCAAATTGTTCACCAATGGCTGTTAATCTGAAAAAACAATTCCTCCCTCTTTTGAAAATCATTAAACAATTATTTTAGACACCAGAAAAGTAACAAAAGAACTCACCTTTCTTCTCCCTAAGTAAAACATTCCTTTGGAATTGCCTCAGTATCCATAATGAAGGTTTCTGCTTAATGATGCTCTGAGTAATTTTCTGACAGATCTGCTAGAAGTAGTCTGGTAACTTTTCCACCAAGGAAAATGTTTGTAGAGCCATCATTGTTATGATTTCTATCTCTTAAAGAAAACAAGAATGCCAGTTGAAATTTGACAACATAAATTTTAAAAATGTATTTTTAGAGATCATACCTTTTTCATGCTTATTTTAAAACATCAATTGACCTTAAATTATTATTCTAATTCTATCTCATATTGTATTACAAATTCATATATGTCTTGTAGATAGATTCTGTTCTAGAAATGTTTTAGGTCCATCCCCACAGGAGACATTTGACAACATTTAGAAATATTTGTGGTTGTCATGACTGGGAATAGTGGGGCTACTGGTGTCTAATGGATAGAGGCCAGGTATGCTGTTCATTATTCCACAGGGCACATAACAACCTCTCATAACAAAGAATTAGCTGCTGCAAAATGCCAATAGTGCCAAGGTTGAGAATCCCTGGCCTAGAAGGTAAGATAGCATTTGATTTTCACCAGTCCCCATACATCCAAATGAAGCCATGAAAATCAGTTATTTAAAAAGCAAATTAACTCTTTGAAACCATTGGAAGATCAGTGGCTTTCTTTAAAAGACTAACACATTAATAGGAAAGTTTGAGTCTAGCCAGAAATAGAACAAAATTTATGTCTTGGACTAGCTCAGGATGATGGAGTTTCTGAGAGCTGTCAAGTGGATTTGACACATGTAAGTAGTAAGGCTAACATAAGCTCTGTGCCAATTATACACAAATATTTATATGTTCTCTCCTGTAACAAAATTATTTTACAAGCAGTGGAACTCAGAATCACATAGTAAATAGTAGATATATATTAATAGTAAATTGAAATCTAAAACAATTTTCCTTCTTTTTTGTTGATCATTTTTCAGATTGATATAAATGTAAAGTAGACATAAATTTCTCAGAAAAATATTTTTAAGATTGAACCTCTCATACACCCCTAAGATTTATCCTGTGATACTCTCATATTTTACATCTCTTCATAATTATTTGTTCCCTTTTCATAAGAGACTTTTCTCTGTTTGATGTAACAAGAAACTTGCAGTGCTAAATTGTCTTTTAAAAGATATTTTTTCACAACAGATTGAGGATTTATAAACAGATAAGAGTTAGTATAATAATGGTCTGATGAATAGGGAAACAAGCTAGAATTTAAGAGGTAAACCAACATGCTTTATTAATAACATGGAAACACTAGTCCAAGATTGACTGGCAAAGTGAATTCAATTTCCCTTAAGCTTCCCTTAGTCTGGCTGTAGGGTATTTCAGGATGTCAGTGTGGCTTACTTGAGTAAAGGGGCCACTAAAAGGAAGCTCTACTTTCTGTATATTATCTACCTTGAGTGGACAACCTTGAATGAGTTGGATAATTTAGTCCAAAGAAGAAGAATATGTGACGTTTATATTTTATATATGATGTATTCAGAGTAATATACATTTGAATAAATAATATTTATTTTTGATTAATTCCTAATAGTACCATTTCATTTAATGAGTCAGACACATTAATCAGAATATTATTATTCAAAATAAGATTCATATTAATATTTAAAGTAAGACCATTTCCCTAAAGCTCTCTAACAATTTAAAGAAACATTTCACTTTCCCTTAAATTGAATGATTTATAACATTTGTAAAGGAACATTCTGGGAATTGTAGTGTGTCTCTTAATGACAATACAATTAAATTGTCTTGTGTATGTCCTGCAATGTGTTTTCAGCAATCAGAAGTAGAAAGAATATAAGGCATATGATATCTAAAGGGATCTTCTGCTTTAGCAGCCAGATCTCAAACAATAGTAATAAAGAATACATGTACCATAAGTCTGGTTACTGGGATATGAATATGACATATAATATATAATATGTAACATATAAATGTATATAATATATATTTATAACATTTAAAGTTTACATTAAATTAGATGAATAAGATGTCTTTAAATGTGCCATTAATAGAGATTTATTTTGGGGTTTTCTTTGTGGTCATATATCAAAAGTTGGCAAGTTTATCTGGTGGACCCATGAACTATTTTTTGTATGGATATGGTGAGAACCTGAATATTACCAGAAAATAAGCAAAACCAGTTAAAGTATAAGTATTCAGTTACTCTAGGATGAAAAAAAATTGTTGAAAATACCAATGTATCATATTCAACATATTATTGGAAGTTCTGGCCAGTGCAATCAGGCAAGAGAAAGAAATACAGGGTATTCAAATAGAAAGAGAGGGAATCAAATTGCCTCTGTTTGCAGATGACTTGATTGTATATTTAGAAAACCCCATTGTCTCAGCCCCAAAACTCCTTAAGCTGATAAACAACTTCAGTAAAGTCTCAGGATACAAAATCAATGTGCAAAAATCATAGGCATTCCTTTACACCAATAGACAAGCAGACAGCCAAATCATGAATGAACTCTTGTTTACAATTGCTAGAAAGAGAATAAATTATCTAGGAATACAGCTAACAAGTGATGCGGAGGACCTCTTCAAGGAGGACTACAAACCACTGCTCAAGGAATAAGAGAGGACAGAAACAAATGAAAAAAAATTCCATCCTCATGGATAGGAAGAATCAATATCATGAATATGGCCATATTGCCCAAAGTAATTTATACATTCAGTGTTATTCCCATCAAACTACCACTGACATTCTTCACAGAATTAGAAAAAAAATTACTTTAAATCTCATATGGAATCAAAATCTCCATATAGCCAAGACAATCCTAAACAAAAAGAGCAAAGCTGAAGGCATGACACTACCTGACTTCAAACTATACTACAAGGCCACAGTAACCAAAACAGCATGGTACTGGTACCAAAAACAGACATATAGATCAATGGAACAGAAAGGAGACCTCAGAAACAAACAACACCACACACCTGCAACCATCTGATCTTCGCCAAACCCAACAAAAACAAGCAATGGAGAAAGGACTACAGCACTCTGCCACCAGGCTCAGCTTTTTTTTTATTTTTGGAGAGATAAGGTCACATTATGTTGCCCAGGCTGGTCTCTAACTCCTGTGTTCAAATGATCCTCCCACCTCCCACGTTAGCCTCCCAAAATTCTGGGATCAACATACTTGAGGAACTCTACTTGGCTTTATTATGTGTTTATTGTCTGCTCCCCCTAACTAGAATGTAAGTTTCTTGAGGGTAGAGATTATCTTATTTTTGTCTTTATTTGTTCCTTAACTTCTGTACATGTGGGGCCTAAAAGATCTCTGTCATGTGAGAGCTTCTCGATCAGAATTGCTGAAAGAATATATGAATAAAATTAATTATTATACACTGAAATAAGATTTATATAGGGACTAAAGTGACTAAGATACTTTATTATCTGAGAGTGATAAGAAAAATCATGTAGCCTACGTTAGATTTAGATTCCCAGAGCAAGGAAAATACTAGCCCCCTAGAACAGGCTACTAAATGCAGTTTTGAGGAAAAATGAATTCACCTAATGATTGAACATTGAAGCCAACATATGTAATATAAGAGTTTTAAAAAAATCTCAGAATAGTAAATGAATAATTGAAATGTATGATATTCTTGAAGAGGGAGATTTGTTGTTATAAAACATAAAATTATCTTTATTTTTACATAAATTTACTTTTAAAATTTAAATAATTAGGTTTTCTGAATTATATTAAAAATGTTTGAATTAATAGAGGATAATAAATTATTAGAATAACTCAATATATTAGCAATAAAAGGTCACTAAGAAGAACTTGCCTTACCACATTTTATAATATATGATGAAGATTTTATAATGTAACTAACATAGATAAATAAATAGCAAAATAAATAAACAAAAGCAAAATAAGACTTCCAAGAAGATAATTCAGTATACATGAAAAGTTAATATTCAATATACTTGTTAGTTTAATCAGTGAAAAAATAATGGGTGAGTTAATATACGGCCCTGGTAAAAGTGGAAGCTCATCTCTAGAAATAGATCCTTATCTCATATAGAAAATAATTTTGCAGTACAATTAAATATTTACAATTCTGAAATAACTTTGTAGCAATAGTTTTGAAATTCTGCTTGTATTAAATGAGAAGGCCTTTTACTTATAAGAACCAATACTTTGGTGTCTGAATGAAGACTCTTAAAGCAGAAAGAACTCAATGCATGATATAACACCACTTCTCAGTTGTCTAGGTAAAAAGAAGGCCTGACAGATGGCAGTGTTGAAGACTACAGTGCAAAGAGAACGGGCTATGAGGAAAGAGGATGAACAAGGTTCCAGCACATGCAGTATAAGAATGGGAATTGAGACAGGGAGGCATAAAAGGCTCCCGGAATCCCTGCACGATTTGACTTCTTCCCTGCTAACCCCAGAGCAGTGCAGGAGAGGAGATCAGAAAGAGCAGATCCAAGATTCTCCCCTCAGGGTAACATTCCTTGGTTTCTCTAGCTCAGTAGTGACTGGAGGACTACAAAAGTCTTATGTGCTGTGACAGACCTCGAAAAACGATTGAGATAGCAGGGAGGGCTCATCAGCAAGAGGCTGAAGGGTCCTTTACCTGAACGCTACAGGGAGGATCTTCAAGCCAAGTTTCTACCATATTTGCTGATGGACATCAGGGTATCCGCAGGCCAGTGAGAGCCTGGGTGGTATCAAGTCAAGCAAGAGCTGCAGCCCAGCTTCCTGGGAACTATCACAGTGCCCAGAGAACACACAGAATGGTTCATTAACTGCAAGCATCCAGCTCTCTTACAACAAGAAGAGAGCTTTCCCCACACACCAGCTGAAAAGAGCCAAACCCAACTGTGGTATGTGTTAACTTGTAGATAGTGGCTGAGCTCTCTCCTTGAGGAAAAATAATAATTTCTCTGTTCTCATACACACAGGAACTGACGACAGAAGAAAGATTGGGTGGGAAAATCGAACACTTAACTGACTGAATAAGTTGCCCAAATGGAACTTACTTAGATTGAGGGAAATAAAAAATAGATGTAGAATAGTGAAATATTTAATCCTCTAGGTATTTTTCTGTCTGCCATCAGAGGAAATGGAGGTTTGTGAAAAAGGTGATATTTATTATAGAAAGTAAAGGGAATTTAGAGAACATTGCATATATATGGGTAACAACTTCGTTAAAACTTCTTAGAGACTTGTTATTGCTTTTATTTTAGATTTTACATTGTGTGGAAACTAGGCAAAACTATTAGACATCAAAATAGGTATAAAGATTATATGTAAAGATTTTAGATACAAAATAAAATAATGCTTACTCCTAATGTCACTAAATACACACAATTTAACAGCGGAAAATACTTCTTTAATTGTTAATTTCTAGTGTTTGATATGAATTGGGTTGACATGTTTTCCTACCACGTTAAAATCAGAAATATATGAGAAAGGAAGAACAATGAATATACATTACAATAAAAGGGCACATTTTGCTTTTAGTAAAATTTGAAAAAAAAAAGAAAATCATAGAGGAAATATTTGTCATTAAATTCATTGGGCACTTTTTTGCACTTTTGATCTTTTCTTTGTCTTTTATATTGCTGACCACTTTCTTTAATGTCTGTCTCTGTATGTATGGTAGGGAAGTGGTTTGGGGGATGAATGGAGAAATTTCTTCAAGTCATTCCTTCTCTGCTACTTTTAAAGTCTTTTCATTTCTGGTTAATACTTTCATGTTATTGATCCTGAGGCCTCTATAAATTGATAAATGTAGAGGAACAATGTTGTTAGAAAAGAGTAAAGTTCAGAGAGAGGCATTTGTTTTTTTAAGATGGCAGAGACAAGTATATTTGCTTGCTGAAGGGCAGCAGTTTTTAGTGAACAAACCATTGAAGAATTATGCAAGAAGATGCAAATATCTGCACATATATATTTTTAAGTGTTTAGAAAGAGATAAAGCACATGTGCTCCAAGTTCCAGGCTTGAGGACACAATGCTCATCTTTCTTTAACCTGAGGAAACAAATAAGGTGAAATGTTAACAGGAAGCATGTTGATGATCTTTCATGTACCTGACTTACATTTATAGCCAACACCTAGAGACATGAACTAGTTTGTTTGTTCTTTATTTTATCCAGAAAGCATTCTAAGTGAAACATAACAAAATATATTTTGTTCATACCAGAAGTGGCTCCTTTTGGTTTCACTGTTATTTCAAATAGAAGACATAATACCTTTGGTATTAAAGCTTTTACTAAAGTTTAAGATGCTGTTTCTAAAATAACAAATGGGAAATGGGATTGCATCTTTAACAGAAGTGAGAATTTTTGTAGTTTGATTACAAAGAGTATTAAATTTTGTTTACTTATGAAACTCATCTTTCCAAAATGAGGAATTGTGGAACTGGGAAAGTCTTCTAAATAATAAAAGTCTCCAAACCCTCTCTTCAAATATAACACTTTCAGTAGAGAAAATAATTACTGCTTTTTAATAAAATTTGTCCTAAAATTTGCATTTCCATTGCCAACAACAAGCATTTTACTTTGCAAACTATCCTCTTTGGCACTTGGTTTTCATAAGCAAATTGAGTAGAAATGATTCAATAGCCTAAATTTATAAAAAGAATGCTGTAGGAAACATTTTACATGAACATATTTAATATTTTGTGTAATATGTATATATATTTTATCATTAGCAAAAGTTTAATTTTCTCTCATCAGGGAAAAAGAGAATGACCCAAGTGTTCCTTTCTTATATCAGCAGAAGAAATAATTAAACATATGTTTACTGAAATATTTTTTGATCTCTAAACATCTTCTTTAATCTTTATTATTGGATTTTAAAAAGCAACCCCAAGACATGTATTAACTTCATGTGAATTACTTCTATACTGCATCATGTAAAGCATATTGTATGGTGACACTTATAAGGTCACCATACAATAGTAGTAAATTAAAATGTACAGATTTCAAAGAAATACTTTATTAAATTTTCTTGCTAACATATCACTTTGACATAAAGAGTTTAAAGAAGGGAGATTTACATTTAGATAATCCACATAAAAGAACACATTTTCTTCTCCCCTATTGTATTTTCTTACTTCTTGTTCCCTCCTTCTCTTCTCCTATCACTCTCCTCTTATTTTTCCCTACTTTTCTGTCCCTTCTTCTCCTCCTTCTTTTTCTTCTTGCACTTAAATACATGATATGTTCTAACAGCATATCTACATAGACAAAGCAAAATACTAGTTGTAAGACTTTGATCTTAATTTCTAAGAATTTACAATTTGTTCATTCAATATCAACTTTAAAAGAACCTTCTTCACAGTCAGTGAACAGTTTCTTGATACCATTTGCATGTTGAAGAAAATAGTACGTTTCATTATTTTCCTGGTAGAATAAATTACCAGGCAATAATATCCTCCCTGTTTAGAAAGGAAATTTTCTCCTATTTGAAAAAAAAAAGATAATATATATACATATGAGGAAACAAGAACATTAATAAATCCCTGACCCTGAAAAAGTGAGTGTAGTTTCAGGGAAATTTGGTTTTACTCGGAGCCCTGTTACTAAGTTGTTACTTTGATTATCTCATAATTCAAGTATATAAAATAAAGATGTTGGCAAATTTAATATGTAAAGATAGGAGAACAGAAGAATGAGGTTTGGTACCATATTTTCTTTACTTTTGTTTTTATCCTCAAACCCATTAAATAAGCTTCTCCTGCATTTTTTAAAGAATCATTTTTAAAGTGTTCAAAATAATCAAGTCATGGAGATGAGCTAGTGAGATTTTGAGATTTTTATCTTTGACTTTTCTGCTTATTTCAGAGAGGCTTTACAGACCAATATCTGACAGAAAGGGTAAGTTCACAGAATGTGTTCGTTTCACAAAGCACAGGATATTGGCGAGGTAATCCTAAATTTGAGCAGGTAATGTCCTGAGATCTGAAAGCACTTAATGTGTTTTCAGGGTTTTCCAAATAGAATAGGCCCTCTGATTTGAGGTAACAGAGAACATAATCTAAGAAAAGTAATTCTTGAGCTTAACATCTCAGGGAAAGAGCAAGGCTAAAGGGCAGGCATACTGACTGCTGCTGTCAAATTCATCCCTTTGAAAAGAAAAATCAAATATATCTTTTCTTCATAATCTTACTCCTTTTTTATGCCTCAGAATTATAACTAGTATTTGGTAATTAGTGTATTGTCAGATATTATAAGACATCCTGTTTCATCTTCCCCATAGGACTTTAAAATTATTAATATTATGCTTTATACCTATAAACTAACCCAGTCTGATAATGTAGTTTTCTTAAAATATATTACATATTTTTCAAGTCCAAATTACATTTGAAGTGTATATTTCTCTGAAAAGTTGAAATTTCTATACTTTATTATACTGAACATCAGAAATTGGTTAAAAATACTAAGGTATAATGAGTTTTGCAACTTGAAAAGTCATTAAAAAATCCCTAGGCAACAGCTGAAAACCATTTTTGGTCTCATGTTTTTCTTATGTATTCATAATTTATAATCATATAATTTTTATATTCAAAAATTTTAAATGAGGTTGTTTGTATAAACTTTACATATTAAATTGTTAAATATTTGTATTAAACAGAATTTTTTATTTTCTAACCATATCAGAAGTCGAAAACTGCCTTATAAACAATTTCAGGCTTATCATAAATCAATAATATCAGTGTAATAACCCAATCCTGAATCCAGCAGACATTATTTCACATTTTCATACCATCAATAAACAGCTTCATAGAAAAATAGATTCTCCTATAGGAACTTTTAGTTGAAGTAGACTCATGATTACCATCAAAGACAATTAATAGAATATGGAGATTTTTTTCCTAAGCTCTGTGAAGAGGGTTTTAAGATTGTGATGGAATGTTATAGACCTCTGTAAGAAAATGGTACAAGCCTACAGTCAGTTTTCTTCAAGTTATAATCAATTGGGATCACTAAACATAAAATGGTGTAAGTAAGAATGTTGATTCTCTTTATTATTTTCAGTTTGAATTACCTTTTCTGGTACAAATGTATTTTTAAATGCACTTTAACTAAGACCTATCTTTGTATGGAATGAAAGAGAGAGAAAGAGACAATAAGAATTGATCCCACTGACAAGGATTTTTTGCTGACTAAACTTTAGTCAGCCTCCTGAACCTTCTCCTGGGCCCATTTGTGCACTTCATTGTAAAATTCAGTCTTAGAAAATAACCCTGCTAAGTCAGTTTAGCAAGAACCCTCACTCTTGCTGTCTGGTCATCCTCAATATCTGATCTATAGCTGAGTTCTCATCCTCCACCATTCCCCCAGTACTGTCCGATCACCCTGGCCTGCCCTCGACAAGAATCCTGTTAGGTTGCTTTAGCCAGAATCCTCTCTTATTTGTGATGTTCTCTTTCAGTAATTTTACATCTATTGACCACCCCTGATCTTCTTCCTTGGTCAGAAATCCCTATTTGCCAAGTTGAGCCCAATCTCTCTCTCTGATAAATTCTCACTGCAATTGTCCAATACCTTTCATAATGGTCATGAATAAAGCCTTTCTTACTATATTTTCACAAGGAAACTTGAATAATTTTTTAATACAAGTCACTTATTTAATTACCTATCCCCCATCCAGAAGAAAAACATGTAATGTAGTCATCTTTATATGATTAATGAAAATGACAATATACACTGGAGGTGTAATGCATGAAAATTCAAATATGTGACCTAATTATATATATATAAAACATATCATATAATCTATAATGTAAACCTATATAGATAATGCAGATATCTGTATTATAGTCAAAATTCTTCATTATATTTAGGTTTTTTTTTATAAATACATAAACTAGCAGTTTACATAACATATTATAACTGTATCATATTCCTTCCATAAATCTTATTTTTCAGCAATTTATTTTTGGTTCACTATTAAAACATGCTATTTTCTCAACATATTTATTTTTGCTTAATGACTTAATCTGGGCATCATGATAAGAAGAATAAAAAATGTGTCAGAAAAGAAAATGTCTTTGAAGGACAGATACATAAGCAGGGGACTCAGAGAGCTATTGCCTTTACATTCCCAAAAAGTCACATTTTTAACAACCACTTAGATTAGAGGGAAATAATGTGTATTAAGACTTTGCTCCATGATCATATCACGGAGTGAGAACCAGTTGTTTTCTATTGTCAACAAAATTTTAATTTATATTTGATAGAATAAAGCAAAGTTCATTTTGTTTCATGTGAAGTTATTTTAATTGAAGAAAAATCGATGTTTCAGATTCCTAAGGTACTACACTAATGCCCATGAAATTCTTAATGTAGAGTAATTTTTAATATTTGAAAATTGTTTTGTTATTTCAATACAGATTTAATAGCTTTTATCTTTAGTCAAGAATGAAAATTTCCTATCAACCAATTTAGATGAATTTGAAATAATCCCCAAATCTGTAAGACCTTCAACAAATATATAAAGCATATCATACCCCCAGCCTTGCAAAGTAGAGGTCACAAAACAGTTTTCAAACTGAATTGCAATATTGCATCATAAATATTTATTGATAATTTAAGAAAGGTCACATCGTACTAGAGCTAGGTTTTAAACAAATAAGTACAAATGCTGTTCCCTTAAATTCAGCAGAGAGTCTCAAAATATATAATTTTTCAAACTGTCCTATAATAAAGTTGCAAGAATTGAAACAAAAAAAAATGAAGACCAAAGTTTGATCAGAAATACTTGTATAAACTACAAACCTTCCTTCTACACTATGTTGGAAAATAAAGCTTCAATAAATTACTTTGTTTATTCTTTAATCACATCAGCAATCTAGAGGCCCTGTGTCTAAATTCAGAGAATATCTTGGACTTCTCCAGGCAAACAATGTATTGATTTCTGAATCAAGTTCCAAACAGATGGATGAAGGCCATAGTTCATTATGCCAGAATCAATGCCATTTGGCTTTGTCACTTTCTAAGCAATAAATACAGATTTCTTTTGCAGGTGATAGTTTATCTAGTATATTTTATCATTTCAGTTATAAGTCTATGCCAGCCTATTAAATATTTATTTTGCAACTTGCAAAATAGGGTGTTTGAAAGCTAATTTTAAAAAAATCTTCTACCAGCAACAATGAATTCACCTGTATTTTATTTCACTTGGAAATTACCAAACATCCTTCTCTGCTCAGGTTTCATCAGGAATTCAACCTACATATTCCTGCAGTAAAGATTTATCAAAGTATGTACATAATGATGTCTGGAAATGGTCCAGACAAAATCTTTTCTAATACATAATCCACCTGCTACTTGCCTGGAAGGAAAGCTTCAAAGAGAAACAGAATATAGCCCAAATGTTCTCTTAAGTGACATCCAAAGGGATTTGCAAACTCAATTGCTATATCTTTGTTTGAGGGAATATTTTATTCAAGTTGGGATCTGTTGGCATAAAATTTATTTTTCTTTCTTTTATCAGAGATGTTCTATTTATACACTTTAGCCTATAATCCCATTTATTAGTCTGGTAAGTGTTAGTTTCTGTTCTTTATAGGACGATACATTATTTCCTTGAAGCAAACACACAAGGGAGAAATGTTTGCTCTAAGCAAAAAGGAGTTTTTGGAAAAACATTTCAGAGTATATTTATTTGGAGATGATGAAATTAACATTTCAGAGCTTCTCTTGCCTCTCCTTTCCTCTCTCCTATTCACCTAAGTGTAAAGTATTATGAGAATTGGATAAAATGATACTGGAAAACTATGTTTCCTTTTCCTACCCCCTAAGACCATGAAAACGTTTCACATGCTTAGAAAAAGTACAATAGATTTTTTACTCCCTTACATTCTCTGTTGTATAATTGTCAGCAATATAAAACTTGTATAATTTGGTAGCATAGCCCTAACAATCTAACATCATAAAAACAACTCAATATCAAAGCAGAGTCATACCATATGAGCTGCTGACGATCACAAATTGTAAATTCTGAATTTATGTAAGGAGTTGACACTATGCTTATATTTATACACATGGATGATATATTTCACTTAATAATAATAGTAATAACTCACTTATTGGGCACTTATGAGGCAGACATTTTCTAAATTCCTTTAATGGATTTTAAAAAATTATATTAAAACAATTTCAGGTTAGTACTCTTATTCTCAACCTACATATAATAAAATGGAAGCACCAAGGTTTTATAATCGACCAAGGTCCATATCCATTTAACCATTAAGTTGTGGAATTGCGATATAATATGTAAAGTGAATAAAATACTCATTAAAAAACCCCAAAGATTAAAAATTTTATCTAAAAATTATTCACATTTATGTAAACTCATCAATCTGATTATTCATCTGTGAGATGGAAAGGGATTTCCTAAAGCATATGGTTTATCTGCTTCGATGTGGAAATCTCCTCAATAATTATTTTGCATTTGAGTACTGTTTATTTCTAGAGTTCATCTTTATATATTCCTGTTCAACCTAAAACTAGTTATCTTCTAAATATTTACACGTGAACACCATTTTAGTTTGAAATTTTTGATCTTTACTTTTCTCACTGAGATCAGGGACAAAGCACTTCAGCCTCTGCTTTACAGCAGCTACTTTTGAAATTATAAATCTTTGTGATCTCAGAGAGCACTTATATGTGCAGGAAGAAAATGTCACGATACTTTTTTATTGTCAAAAGTGTCTGAGATTGTTGAAGCTGAATCTAAAATCTTGACTTATTTAAAAATATTATCTAAGTTAGCCTCATTATATTTTTATCTTAAAATATAATTATACTTATATTATTATTTTTGTCTTAAAAACCCACAGTATGGGCTTGCTGCACTGTCTCTTTGACTTGGGACCCCCTCCATTAACTACAGGAGGCCCGTCTTCAACAGACGCTGCATTTGAGGCCCACAGGACAAGGAAGTAAGGAGAAAGTTGTGTCATTTCCTGCATAAGGCAGAGAATAGCTGAAGCACCAGTAAAATAATCCTTCAGAAATTAAGATTGTCTGTAAGAATTATATTTGATGGGCAGTATTAAGAAAGAAGATAAAAGAAAATTGGGTCCACATTAAAAAGTTTTTCTTTGTTTCCAGATGTGATGATAAGCACCCATAGTTCCAGCTACTCAGGAGAGTGAGGCAGGAGGATCTCTTGAGCCCAGGAGTTCAAGTCCAGCTTGGGAAACTTAGGGAGGTACTTTCTCCAAAAATACAAATAAGCAATACTTATATGAAAAGTTTTCCTTTGTCAATAAGTCAAGTCCCACCTTGGATTAAAGAGATAATTTATTCTACCTAAGAGTTTGTAAACACATATCCAGACACAGGTACTGCTTGTTATACAGGGTATAATTACTCTTTATTGTGGGAGTATAGTAAGAGAATTATGCAGGAATAAAATACAACAGATTTCTGAATACATTATCTAATTGTCACTGAGTGACATACTATCATTGATAAAGTCTACTTATATCTAGAGTCTGAAATCTCTGAAATCTAGAATCTGAAATATCTGTTCAAAAGAGAAAAAATAATTAAAAACCTCTGGGTGGTTTCAGCCTAGTCTATAACTATTTTTTAAAAGAAAATTCCTATTTTGATTTCACCATTTTGTAACTTAGGGCAATTCACAGTCAGGTAACTAGGTTAAGCTTTGTCCCAATCTTGAGAGAGATACCTCAACTCTTTTGAGGGCTAGCATATATCTTTGAAACAGTAAATGAATAATAAAATGGATTTGAATGTTTAATGTCTACTGCTTAAGAAGGTAACTAGTTTACAACACAATATAGAGTTCATTTTAATAGGATGATTGTTTTCTTTGAAAGCTCATAATTTATTCATTGTTTCTGAGTATGATTTCAAATGGGCATTTATGTTATTTTATTTCTACCCATGTTCTTAAATAGCTGCTTGGAAGGTAGTAGAAATTTCTGATATAAACATTTACTTTTGAAAAGGGAAAAACAAGGCTGGGTTAGAAGCAATAATCTTAGTAGCTGACACAAAGAATATTTCAGCTTACTCATATTGCTACAGGTCATATTAGTGAGTCCAGATTTAACAAAGTGATATGTGGGCATGTGCACACACATACACACACACTCACATACACACATATGTAGAGACACATACACATGTGCTGACAAAAATTTGGGAATTTTGACATCACATTCAGTGAACACACCCAAAATCTATTATTTTGTGGACGTAAATTGAAAATTAAAAATAGGTTGTAGTAGTAAATGCATACTAGTGAGAACAATTTAGATAATGGATAGACTTTCCAGAAAAAAAAATTGGAAAATATCTGCACTGTTGATATTCAAGTTTTCTTCTGGAGATCTTTCCAAACTAGAGCTTATCAAGAGGAATATATAAGTTTGGGAAAAAAAGATTTTGAAGGATCTGAAACAATGTTCAGACCTAAATTTATCAAGAAAAAGATGAAAAATCTGGAAAATGTGTTAAATATTCTGAACTCTTAAAACCAAAAAGGAAATAGGTGGTTCATGATATTAGGGAGGCATATTTCTGTTCTGAAGAATACTCAAAAAATTAAACCTATTCCGATGGGCTTAAAATTGTAATTATAAGAATTAAATTATAATTTTTATAGTTAACAATGTCTTTTTACATAAATTTCCTTGTTGTATTCTTACAATTTTCTTGAAAGCAATGGAAAACAGGTATTATTTTGCCATTTCACAGATAAGGAAATTGAGGACAAAAAAAAATTTTTAAAAACGTGATTAGAGGGTCAAATCTCAAATACTGATTTTATTATTCTAATCCATATTTTAACCACAGTGATCGCTAAACTGAGCCAATAACCTATGTAATATGACATGGTTGTGTAATAGCACAGAACTGAGCCTCCTAGACACTATCATGGAGTAAATAATAGCACAGACTCAGGAGCTGAATCATCTCAATATAAATCCTAGCCCTACCAGTTGTTATCAGTTTTCTCATTTGTAAAATGAGGTTGATAAATTTACCTGATTTAAAAAATGTATTCATGAGAATTAAGTAACTTATGAAAAGTACATAGCAGAGTGTAAGAACTCCGTTAGCTAAAATATGAATCATTATCATCTGGCACATTAAAGATACTCAAAGTGTGTTAGTTTCTTTTATAGCTTCCTTATATTTTCCAAAACCTTGCTTTAAATGACAAATTTATACACTGCAGTAGGAGTTTTAGAAATACAAGGAATAAGGAGATGGTTTTTAAGTGTGAAAATAGTAACCTCTGGAGTTCCATTTTCACCATGATATTCTCCTACGCATTTTTTTGTAAAGCCAAGTAGAAGTCATCTCCCAAAACAGAAATGTCCTTTATTTTTCATTTGTCCCTAAACTTAATCCCACAGGCTTTTAATTTTTATTGGTACATAGTAGGTATATATATTACAGAGTAAATGAGATATTTTGAATTCAGGCATTCGATGTGGAATGATCACATCAGGATAAATCAACAATCCATCACCTCAAACATTTATTATTTCTTTGTGTTACAGACATTCCACTTATACTCTTTTAGTTATTTTTAAATGTACAATAAATTATCATTGACTGTAATTACCCCATTGTACTATCAAATACTAGATCTTATTTATTGAACTCTATTTTTGTACCCATTAACCATCCCCACTCCCCTACAGCCCCACTATCCTAGCCAGTCCATGTTAACTATCATTCAATTCTCTATCTCCATGAGGTCGAGAGGTTTACATTTTAGCCCCTGCAAATAAGAGAGAAAATGTAAAATCTGTGTCTCTGCTCCTGACTTACTTTTCTAAATATAATGTTCTCCAGTTTCATCCATGTTGTTGCAAATGACAGGACTTCATTCTTTTTTGTGGCTGAATAGTTCTTCATTGAATATATATATATATATATATATATTTTTTTCAATATATATATATTTTCAATATATATATATTTTCAATATATATATATTTTCAATATATATATATTTTCAATATATATATATTTTCAATATATATATATTTTCAATATATATATATTTTCAATATATATATATTTTCAATATATATATATTTTCAATATATATATATTTTCAATATATATATATTTTCAATATATATATATTTTCAATATATATATATTTTCAATATATATATATTTTCAATATATATATATTTTCAATATATATATATATTTTCAATATATATATATTTTCAATATATATATATTTCAATATATATATATTTCAATATATATATATTTCAATATATATATATTTTCAATATATATATCCACACACCACATTTTCTTTATCCATTAATCTGTTGATGAACACTTAGGTTGCTTCCAAATCTTAGCTATTGTACAGTGCTGCAACAAATATAGGAGTTGAGATATCTCTTTCATATTCTGATTTCCTTTCTTTTGGGTATATCAGCAGTGGGGTTGCTGGATCATATGGTAGTTCTACTTTTAGGTTTTTGAGGAAACATCATACTGTTCTCCATAGTGATTTTACTCATTTACATTTTCACCAACAAGTTTACCTTTTCTTCACATCCTCACCAGAATTTGTTATTGCCTGTCTTTCGGATAACAGCCATTTTAACTGGGGTGAGATGATATCTCATTGTAGTTTTAATTTGCATTTCTTTGATGATCAGTTGTGTTGAGCATCTTTTTATATAACTATTTGCCATTTGTGTATTTTTTAAGATAAATGTCTGTTCATATCTTTTGTCCATTTTTTATTTTTATTTTTTATTCATCATTTATGTTTATTGCTGGGACATTGGGATAAGTCTCACTTGTCATGATCTTTTAATGTGTTGTTGAATTTATTATATTTTATTTTATTTTATTTTTAGACGGAGTCTTGCTCTGTCACCCAGGCTGCAGTGCAGTGGCGCGATCTCAGCTCACTGCAACCTCCGTCTCCCGGGTTCAAGTGATTCTCCTGTCTCAGCCTCCTGAGTAGCTGGGACTACAGGTGCATGCCACCATGCCCAGCTAATTGTTGTATTTTCAGTAGAGATGGGGTTTCACCATGTTGGCCAGGATGGTCTCGATCTTTTGACCTCATGATCTACCCCCCTCGGCCTCCCAAAGTGCTGGGATTACAGGCGTGAGCCACCGCGCCTGGCCATTGAATTTAGTTTGCTAGTGTTTTGCTGAGGATTTTTGCATCAATGTTCATCAGGGATATTGGCCAGTAGTTTTATTTATTCATTTATTTACTTATATGAGACAGACTCTTGATCTGCTGCTCAGGCTACAGTGCAGTGGCACAAACATGGCTCACTGCAGCCTAGACCTCCTGGCCTCAAGCGATTCTCCAGCCTCAGCCTCCTGTATAGCTGTGACTGCAAGTGCACCCCATCCTGCTCAGCTGATTAAAAAGAAAAACGTTTGTAGAGATGGAGTTTTATCATGTTTCCCAAGCTGGTCTCAAACTCCTGGACTCAGTTATTCTTGTGCCTTAGCCTTCCAAAGTGTTGGTCTTTTCTTTTTCTTTTTTTTTTTTTTTTTTGATATGTCTTTGTCTGGTTTTGGTATCAGGGTAATGTTTGCTTCATAGACTGAATTTGGTAGCACTCTATCCTCCTCTGTTTTTTAGAATAGTTTGAGTAGGATTGGTATTAATTCTTCTTTAAATGTTTAGTAAAATTCAGCAATGAATGTATTGAATCCCAGGCTTTTCTTCGTTGGGAGGCTTTTTATTATGGTTTTAATCGCATTATTTGTTATTGGTTTATTCAGGTTTTAGATTTCTTCATGGTTAAATGTTGGAAGGTTTTGGTATCTAGGAATTTATTTGTTTATTCTAGGTATTACAGTTGATTGTCATATAATTGCTCATAGTAGTCTAATGATCCTTTGAGTTTCTGCAGTTATCAGTTGTAATGGCTCCTTTTTAAAATGTGATTCAAAATGTGTTTTATTAAAGCAATTTGAAAGTAATCACAGACAATGAATTTCGTCAAATTTTGAATCTATATATTTTTAATATAATACAATATAATTCTTAAAAAAGGATACAGTTATCCTCTGGGTCAGAATACAATCTTACACAAAATGCAAGCCATTATATAAAAACAGAGTTGCTTTGATGAAAGATAGAAAGGGATATTGTATCACATTCAAGTGTGACTTTTTAAATTTTCCTTTGTGTAACACAGTTTGAAATTATGTCCTATAATATTCTATCTTAACTATACTTTCCTATCTAACTTCTATTCATTCTCTGAAATGAATTTCAAACTTGGTCTCTAATTGTAAGTAAAGTTTCATAGTGCAATGTTTTACATGACTAGCAAGCAAGTTTCAGCTACACCTGTTGTGTATTTACATGTGGAGAAATATATCAAATGCAGCATAATTTTGCTTGGAGCCTCACTGACTTCTCACTATCTTCTCCTGCCCTTCCTTGTCTTTCACAACAGCACATAATTTTCTGTCTGTCACTTGATGGCTTAGATCTATTCATGTAATGAGTCAGTGCTAGTTTATTAGAATACGTTTTCCCATTAGTGAATATAAGCTAGAAAAATTTACCTACAAAATCTCAGTGTCTGATAATTCCTTAAGGATCCCTATATTGCTTTCAACTTTTGTGGCTAGTTGAACTTATTGGTCTCATTTCCATGTCTCCTTTTTAATCTCCAATTTTATTTATTTGAGTCTTCTTTCTTTTTTTCTTGGTTAGTCTGGCTAAAGATGTTTCCATTTTTTTTTGTTTAAAAAATTTTCATTGTATTGATGTTTTTGTATTTTTTTGTTTCAATTTCATTTATTTATGGTTTTATCTTTATTAATTTTGGGTTGGGTTAGCTCTTGCATTTCTGGTTCTTTGAGATATATCATTATAGACCAGACATGGTGGCTTATATTTATAATCCCAGAACTTTGGGAGGCTGCGGCAAGCAGATGGCTTGAGCACAGGCATTTGAGATCAACCTGGGTAACATGGTGAAGTCCTGTCTCTACAAAAAATACAAACGTTAGCCAGGCATAGTGGCAAGCACCTGTAATTTCAGCTACTCAGGAGGCTGAGATGGGAGTTTGGATTGAGCTTAGAAGGTTGAGGCCACAGTGAGGCATGATCATGCCACTGCACTCCAGTCTGGGAAACAGAGCAAGACACTGCCTCAAAGAAAAATATGTTTCATTAGGTTATTTTAAGTTTTTCTACTTTTCTGATTTAGGTGCTTATTGTTATAAACTTTGCTCTTAAGTACTGCCTTTGTTGTATCTTATAGGTTTTGATATGTTGTGTTGTAATTTTCATTTGTTTCAGTAAAAATTTTTAATTTTCTTTGTAATATCTTTATTGACCCACTGGTCATTCCAGTGTACTTTGTTTATTTATTTATTAAGTCTGTTTGGTTTATAGTACAGGTTAAGTCTGATGTTTCTTTGTTGATTTTCTGTCTGGATAGTCTGTCCAATACTGAAAGTGGGGTGTTGAAGTATCTACCTACTTTTGTGTTGGAATCTTTCTCGCTCTTGTGCTTTAATATTTACTTTATGTATCTGGGTGATCCAGTGTTGGAGGCATATAGATTTACAATTATTATGTCCTCTTCCTGAATCAAATCCTTTATCATTATATAATGACCTTCTTTGTCTCTTCTTATGGTTTTTGTTTTGAAATCTATTTTGTCTGATATAAGTATAGCTGTTCCTGCTCTTTTTTGGTTTCCATTGGCATGGAATATCTTTTTCCATCCCTTTATATTCAGTCTATATATATCTTTATAGGTGCAACCTGTTTTTTTCTAGGCCTCAGATACATTGAGTCTTGTTTTTTAATCCATTCAGCAACTCTATATATTTTTAATAGAGAGTTGAGTCCATTTACATTCAATGTTATTACTGATAAATAAGGACTTACTCCTGTCATTTTGTTATTTGTCTTCTCATTGTTTTGTGGTCTTTTCTTCCTTTGTTCCTGTCTTCCTTTCAGTGAACATGATTTTTTGTAGTGTTATGTTTTAATTTAAAGCTTTTTATTTTTTGTGTATCTGTTATGCGTGTTTTGATTTGAGGTTACTATGAAGTTTGCAAATGACATCTTTTAACCCATTATTTTAAACTGATGACAACTTAACACTGACTGTAAAAACAGACTAACAAGAGGAAATGGATATATCACTACACTTTCATTCCCCCTTTAGAAACATTTTTTGTTTCTATTTATATCTTACTATACTGTTTGTGTTGAAAAGTTTGTGTTTCAAATTGCCTGTGTAGATTTTTGAAATAGTTTTAATTATTATATGAATAATAAAGGTAATATTTTAGTCAATATTTTTTAAAGTCTACAAAATCATGACAACGCGCTGATATGTAGTACCCAATATGATCTCTCCTATTAGAAAAGGGTGTACATTTTCTGATGCTTGCAAATTGAAAGTCTGCCAAGATGAGTTCAAAAAAAGTAGTAAAATCCATGGGAAAAAGCTGATAGAATACTAGAAATTTTAATGTGGGGGAAAAGTAATGATTGATTTAATAAACACTTTCAATAGAAAACAGTAAAAGTACTATCCAAGATGAGACCTATTATTTTAATAATAGCTAATAAAGAGACTACATTAGTCATAATAACAAGAATTAAGACAAGCAAGAATAATGGTAAAATGGCACAATGCTATATTATTTCCAATGAAATACATTTCCCTAAGTTGATTATAAATATTATTTTTTGGCAACTCAGAGATTTCAATTTTGGTTACTCACACTAACAATGAAGAGAGTAAAGTAAAATTAGACTTGCTTTATAGAAAAAGAAAACTTTATGCAAATTTTATGGTTTCTTATTTGCCACATAAATTTGCCACATAAAATTGTTATAAAATATATCAAAGATTAAACATATGGTGATAGACAACTTCTGGAGAAAAAGTGATGTTTTAAACATATTGGTATGGCAAAACATTTTGACATTTAGTCACTGTATGGTTGCTTTAGTTTTTCACTATTCACTCAAAAATGTGTACAAAATATTGATGGGAATTTTGTCATTATAAAAATCACAGTATCTATCTGGCACTGTGTCCTGTATTTCATGGTCATATGGAAAATGTACATCTTATATTTTAAAATGACAATTTGCAGCATGAATTAGTTTGGCTGCTCTTTTAAAATAATCTATATTTATATCCCCCATGCCAGGGAAATGTTTGGAAACAGACAGAAGGGAGCTGGTTTTTCTTCGCCATGAATGTGGCTTCAGGTTTCACAATTTCTATATATGGACGTGTTCCCATTATACACAAGAGAACTACATGCAACTTCAGTGAGAATTCACTTCTATTTAGAGCCAATGATTATACTTAAGATTCACTGCTGTTTTTGCAAGGTGCAAATAGTCTGTGCTCTTAGCATCGTATGGAAACATTAACTTAGTTGTAGGAAGAGAATTAGGAAACATGTGGAAAGTTACATAGCTCACAGCACTTTGACTGTGGGGAAGCTGGGATATTTGCAAAAAGTTCTGTGCATAAAATGGCAACAGCCTGTGTTAAGTGGAAACACTCAGGAAATTAATTTTCATAGACCAATAATAGAGAAACCATTCAAAAAGCAATGATTCTGATAGGTCCATCATGGTTTTCTCTATGGCGGCAGTTATGGCCCTTGTAAAATTAAATGTCATGCGATCTTTTCTGTCTTAAAAACTTTTGTTTTAATTTTTTTTTATTATTATATACTTTAAGTTCTGAGATACATGTACAGAATGTGCAGTTTTGTTACATAGGTATACACGTGCCGTGGTGGTTTGCTGCACCTATCAACCCATCATCTACATTAGATATTTCTCCTAATGCTATCCCTCCCTTAGTCCCCCATCCCCTAACAGGCCCCAGTGTGTGTGATGTTCCCCTTCCTGTGTCCATGTGTACTCATTGTTCAACTCCCACTTATGAGTGAGAACATGCAGTGTTTGGTTTTCTGTTCTTGTGATAGTTTGCTGAGAATGATGGTTTCCAGCTTCATCCATGTTCTTGCAAAGGACATGAGTTCATCCTTTTTTATGGCTGCATAATATTCCATGGTTTATATGTGCCACATTTTCTTTATCCAGTCTATCACTGATGGGCATATGGGTTGGTTCCAAGTCTTTGCTATTGTGAACAGTGCTGCAATAAACATACGTGTGCATGTGTCTTTATAGTAGAATGATTTATAATCTTTTGGGTATATACCCAGTAATGAGATTGCTGGGTCAAATGGTATTTCTGGTTCTAGAAATACGATTTCACCACACTGTCTTCCACAATGGTTGAACTAATTTACATTCCCACCAACAGTGTAAGTGTTCTTACTTCTCCACATCCTCTCCAGCGTCTGTTGTTTCCTGACTTTTTAATGATTGCCATTCTAACTGGCGTAAGATGGTATCTCATTGTGATTTTGATTTGTGTTTCTCTAATGAACAGTGATGATGACTTGCTTTTCATATGTTTCTTGGACACATAAATGTCTGCTTTTGAGAACTATCTGTTCATATCCTTTGTCCACTTTTTGATGGGGTTGTTTTTTTCTTGTAAATTTGTTTAAGTTCTTTTTAGATTCTGGATATTAGCCCTTTGTCAGATGATAGATTGCACAAATTTTCTCCCATTCTACAGGTTGTCTGTTCACTCTGATGATAGTTTATTTTGCTGTGCAGAAGCTCTTTAGTTTAATTAGATCCCATTTGTCAATTTTGGATGTAAACAGTGTAAAGACTTTTTTAAGCACACTATTTAAAAGCATTTTACATAAATATTTTTGCAAATGTTAAATGGATCATGTGATAATCTGCTGTGATGCTATGTCTTTATTCTGTATTGTTTAACCCTTGTTTGCTATTATTTTATTAGTAGTGCATTGTTATGTTTCATTTTATTAATGTTACTATCATATCTTCTTTATTAAAGAACTGGTATCAAAGAACCATCACTGACTTTTTCTCCCAATTTACTATGAGCTGACTGTTCTATTTTAAAAAATGCTTAAGAAAGAGTACTCGACAATATTTCTGAAGTTTTTTTATATTCATCAGGTGGATTTTACATTCATTAAGTTCCTTTCTATGTCAAATCCGTTATTCCTGTTACAAATTATATTCATTTCCTGTGAATCACTGGAAATAGGAACTAGGTGGTTGTTATTTTCTTTTACTGACATTAAGGACGAAACTTGTTATGGAGCCATTTACCTGTGACAAATGGTGCAGACTCATAAAGAAAAGATAAAAGTTAATTGATATTCTTCAGCTCAATATTAAATCACTTCAAAGAGATTTTTTAAAATTTTCTTGAATGACACCCCCAATCCTCAGTAACTTCTTACCACTTTTATTGCAAAAGAATTGTGGTAAACTTACTCTGTTGAGTTCATAGCACTATCTCGTCTCACATTGTTAATAATTTGCATTTCAGTGTACTCACCTGCCTATTCTTTGATTTAGTAATCTTATCCCTATGTAAATGTACTTTGTGAACAAATCACTTAGAATGGAATTTACAACTGTTATATAGTTTTCAATTGTAAGCATTATACACAAATATATAAAGGAACTGAAATTAATTATAACCAAATTTTAGTTTATTCAATAAATGTGTATAGATTTTGCCAATTTCTGTGCATACATTTAATGTTTTAACAAATATTATTCATTGAACTCTCTCCAGAATATTGTGGCATATATAACATCTTTGTATCCTTTTATTTTTGAGGAAAATGAAACAGGAGGGCAAGAAATTTGTCCAAGGTTCTCTTCAAATTAGTCAGATGTATCACTGGGATGCAGCCCAGGTAGATTTGTCCCAGAGTCAGTACTCTTAATCACAATGCAATTCTGGCTACCCACGGTGTATATATAGTTATATATGTAACCATATTAATGCATATCATACAATAATATCACTTAGACACTAGTAAATCTGTCCACTAATACATAATTCTCTCCCTTCCTAAATATTTTTCTATTATATCCCAGATATAGCCATTCTCATTCAACCAGTATTCCAAGCCTGAAATCTGCAAATCATTCTAAATGTTTTCTTTCTTTCTTCACATAACTACTAATTTCCTAATTTGATCATTCTGCTGTCTTAGATGTTCAAACATCCATATATTTCTTGCCCATTCATTGCCTATGCCTTTGTTCTGAGCTTTATTACTTCTCTCCAGATTGATAAAAACAGCATCCAGATAAGTCATGCTGGCTGGATGCATTTCTCTAGCACTCCCACAATGATGAGTCTAATTTACACACAATCATGACTCAAAGTTTAGTATCTTCAAACCTTTTCAATAAAGGCAAGCCAAGGAAACTAAAAATAGCACATATTTTACTTTATCCCTGCAATAAATGGGAATTTACCAACTATTCAATCAGTAATATTTTTCAGGAGTTTATATTTTTGGATTAAAAAATACAACTATGAGATTAAGAGAGAAATTAAGGAGAGATTAAAGCAATGGAAATAAGTACAATAGCGTCTTCTGAGTCAAATGATTTTTCAGCTGTTAAGCTTACCAAAATATTTGCCATCTTTGAAGCTGAGTATTACTTTGCCCCCGGAATCTTTATGGTCAGGTCAAATCTTTCTTTGTCAGTTTAGCAGTTAACAGGAAATCTGTACAAGTGTAATGGGCTTCTTTTCCATTATTCCTCAAGATGACTTGGAATGTTTTGGAAAAGTGAGTCACTCCTATTAAGTCATAGATACATGTCATCCATCTCAGAAATGCCTTGCCTTGCCTTTCTGAGATAAATGACATCATATATATAACTTAATAAGATTAAGACTTAATAAGATTATGACCTAATAAGATTAATCACACATTAAGATTTCATGGACACAGACTTTTAGGCACAAATTATTTAGGTATTTCTTTATTTAATTGAGAAACATTAACCAGATTTAGTGGGGAAATATTAACCGCCTCTTGTCTCTGACCAGAGGAGTCAAAGACAAGAGAGCAATCTAAGTATTTTGATTGGCAGTCCAGTGTTCTTTCTCCTGTAGTATAAATTCTACAGAGTCCAAGGGAATCATTAGCACAAATGTGAGATTCTGAGAGAGATAACAATCATACCATTGTTTCCTGGGCACTTAATGAGAAGATGTATAAACACAGAGAAGAGGAGATGCCTCACCTAATCCAATTCATCAAGTTTAGTGTGTGTGACAAGAGGTTTCTATTACTGAGAAAGAAAATTTCATCAACATGCATATTACTATTATAATAGGAATTGAATTCCACATTTTTTTAAGAATGGGTCAATCAATAATTGTCCATAATATGTCTTAAGAAGAAAAACAGGGATTTTGCAACTTATAATAAAGCATTACTTTTGAACCAATGATAGAAGATAATGTAGAGGGCAATGACCCTCAAAGGAGACATCTAACTAAAGAAGGACATCCAAGCTATGTTCTAAACTGTCTCATAGGAAAAAGAAAGGAAGGCAGGATTCCACCTACTAGTTGACGTCCAACGTGATATTTGATGGCACAAGAAGAAGTCCATCTTTATGTGGTAAGAATGTTATGAATTACCAAAATTGTTGCAAATCTAAGTTTACAATTTGAAACTCTATAAGATTCTGCTTCTATATTTATTCTATAAAATTAATATTTATTTTTAACATTTTCCTCGGATTAAGATATTACTATGCAAAGTGAATCAAGAGTATAATTCTTTAGGCTTAGAAAATGACTGCAGTGGTCGGGCACGGTGGCTCATGCCTGTAATCCCAGCACTTTGGGAGGCTGAGGCAGGTGGATCACAAGGTCAGGAGTTCAAGATCAGCCTGGCCAAGATGGTGAAACCCCGTCTCTACTAAAAATACAAAAAAAAAAAAAAAATTAGCTGGGCATGGTGGTGGGTGCCTGTAATCCCAGCTACTCGGGAGGCTAAGGCAGAGAATTAGTTAAACCCAGGAGGTGGAGGATGCAGTGAGCCGATATCTCGCTACTGCACTCCAGCCTGGGCCACAGAGTGAAACTCCATCTAAAAAAAAAAAAAGAAGAAAAAAAGAAAAAGAAAGTGACTGCAGTTTAAATGTTCGAATGTCAATAATTTAATGATCAACAAGCATAAATTTTTAAATCTTTTTAAATTTAAACTTTTCTTTAGATACAGGGGGTACACATTCAGGTTTGTTACATGGAAATATTGTACCTAGGTAGTGAGTGTAGTACCCTATGTAGTTTTTCAACCCATGCCTCCCTCCTTCCCTTTTCCATCTAGCAGTCTGCGGTATCCACTGTTGAGCTTCCACTTTTAAGTGAAAACATGCCATATTTTGTTTTCTGTTCCTGCATTAATTTGCTTAGGATTAAGACCTCCAGCTCCATCCATGTTGCTGCGAAGGACAATGATTTTATTCTTTTTTAATTTCTATATAGTATTCTGTGGTGAACATGTACTACATTTTCTTTATCTAATCCACCATTGATAGGGACCTAGGCTGATCCCACATCTTTGCTATTGTGAATACCATGGTGATGAATATATAAGTGCAAGCCTCTTTGGTATAATGATCTATTTTGGTAGATATATACTCAGTAATGGGATTGCTGGGTTGAATGGTAACTCTGTTTAAAGTTTTTTGATAAACTTCTAAACTTCTTTCCACAGCAGTTGAACTAATTTACATTCCCACCAACAACGTAAAAGCATTCCTGTTCTTTTGTTGTTGTTGTTGGCTTTTTAATAATAGCTATTCTGACTGGTGTGAGATGCTATCTCTTAGTGGTTTTGATTTTCATTTTTCCAATGACTATAGATAATAAGCATTTTTTAATATGTTTGGGGGCCACTTGCATGTCTTCTTTTGAGAACCATCTGTTCATGTTCTTTGCTCATTTTCTAATGGGGTTGTTTTTGCTTGTTGATTTCATTAAGTTTCTCATAGATTTTGGATATTAGACCTTTGTTGGCTGCATGGTTTGCAAATACTTTCTTCCTTTCTGTGGATTGTTTGTTTATTCAGTTGATAGTTTCTTTTGCTGTGAAGCCCCTTAGTTTGATTAGGTCTCACTTGTTAATTTTTATTTCCTTGCAATTGATTTTGGGTACTTAGCCAAAAATTATTTGCACAGACCAAAGTCGATAAGGATATTTTCTAGGATTTCTTCAAAGATTTTCATGGTTTGGGGTCTTACATTCAAATCTTTAATCCATCTGGAGTTAATTTTTGTACATGGTGAAATGTAAGGGTCCAGTTTTATTCTTCTGCAGATGGCAAGCCAGTTATCCCAGTACCATTTATTGAATGGGAAATACCTTTCCCATTGTTTATTTTTGTTAGCCTTGTCGAATTGCAATGGTTGTATTTGTGCAATTTTATTCATGAATTTTCTATTCTGTTCCTTTGGTCTATGTGTCTGCTTTGTACCAGTACCATGCTGTTTTGGTTGCTGTAGCCTTATAGTATTGTTTGAAGTCAGGTAATGTGATGCCTTTGGCTTTTCTCTTTGTGCTTATGATTGCTTTGGGTATTAAGGTTCTTCTTTGGTTCTGTATGAATATTGGAATTGTGTTTTTTTTTAATTTTGTGAAAAATGACATTTGTAGTTTGATAGGAATAGCACTGAAAGTATAAATTGTTTTGGGCAGTATGTTGATTTTAATGATATTTATTTTTCCAATCCATGAGCATGAAATGTTTTTCCATTTATTTGTATCATCTCTGATTTCTTTCAGCAGTGTTTTGTAGTTCTCCTTGTAGACGTCTTTCACCTCCTTAGCTGGCTATATTCATAGGCATTTTGCTTTCTTTATGGCTATTGTAAATGGGATTGTGTTCTTGATTTAAATCCTATCTTGGACCTTTTTGGTGTATAGAAGTGTTACAGGCTTTTTTCATTGACGTTTACATCTTGAAACATGAGTAGAATTGTTTCTCATTTCTAGGAACCTCTTGGCAGAATATTCAGAGTTCTCTAGGTAGAGAGAATCATATCATCAGTAAAGAGAGATAGTTTGACCTCTTCTTTCTCTATTTGGGTGCCTTTTATTTCTTCCTCTTTCCTGATTGATCTGGCTGAGAATTTCAGTACTATGTTAAATAGGAGTGGTGAGAGTGGGCATCTTTGTCTTGTTCTGGTTCTCAAGGGGAATGCTTCCAGCTTTTGCCTATTCAGTATAATGTTGGCTGTGGGTCTGTCATAGATGGTCCTTATTATTTTGAGGTATGTTCCTTCAATGCCTAGTCTCTTGAGGGTTTTTATCATTAAGGTATGTTGGATTTTATCAAAAGCTTTTTTCGTGTCTACTGAGATGATTACGTGGTTTTTGTTTTTACTTCTGTTTATGTGGTAATCACATTTATTGAATTATGCATGTTGAACCAGACTTGTATCCCAAGAATAAAGCCTAGTTGATTGTGGTGCATTAACTTTTTGATGTGTTGCTTGATTTGGTTTGCTAGCGTTTCATTGATTCTTCCATCTACGTTTATCAGAGATATTGGCCTGAAATTTTCTTTTTTCATTGTGTCTCTGCCAAATTTTTGTATTAAGCTGATGCTGACTTCACAGAATGAGTTACAGAGGAGCCCTCTTCCTCCAGTTTTTGGAACCCTATCAGTAGGATTGGTACTAATTTTTCCTTGTACGTCTGGTAGAATTTGGATGTGAATCCATCTGGTCTAGGGTTTTTGTCTGGTTGGTAGGTTTTTTTCATTTACTGATTCAATTTCAGAGCTTAATATTGATTTATTCAAGGTTTCAATCTCTTTCTGATTCAATCTTTGAATATTATGTGTTTCCAGGAATTTATCCCTTTCATCTATATTTTCTAATTTGAGTGAACAGAGTTGTTTTTTGTATTCTCTGAGGACGTTTTGTGTTTCTGTGGGATCAGTTATAATGTCATCTTTGTTATTTCTGAGTGTACTTCTTTGGATTTTTTTTTCCTAACAATTTTATTTTAAATGTTAACCCAAGGAGATATTTACCTTTTAATAGAAACTGAATTTAGATCACAAAAATGGAAAATGTACTTTTTTTAGTGTTTTTGTGTTTTTCTTTTCAGAGGAAGATTTTAAGTACATTGCTCACATAGAGTAGAGTGAGGCATCCAGGAATTTTATTTCAGATTTGAAAAAATGAAAGCATTAATGCACATATGTATAGCTGAAACTGTCTTTGCAAAAATTGTATCAGTGAAAAAATTATGGAAGTAAGGGAGATCTGATCTAGCCCACCTTCCTCTTGCTTTTAGCCTTCAAGCTGCCAAGTGAGCTTTGAGAGACATTTAGTTTATAGTTTAAATGATAATAGGCCTTCCCTCAAATTCAACCCCCTTTGCAAAGCTAATGAGAGACCACCAGGCCATGGGAAAGGAGAGGAGCCTGAATTTTGCAATGGTTTAGACATAAACAGTTGGTAGCCGTTATTCAGGAGGTCCTGCTGATAGCATCACTATTGCAGATTGGGCTTTTGAGATATCTTCTTGCATTATTTTTGTATGTCTAACTCCAACGGCTCCATCTAGACCCACTGACAGATGCCTCCCGTGGCCTCACCCAGAAGCGATGCAGTACTCAGGAGGACCATTTCCTCCCACACCCTCATGATGACACTCCAACCAATCAGTAACAAGCTGATATATATACTTACATATATATATACACACACACACGTATATATATATACACATATACATATATACATATACATATACACATATATATAGTTGATATATATTGCTGATATATATGTGTGTATATACGTGTGTATATGTATATATATGTGTATATATACATCAAGCTGATATATATAATAAAATAAAAAAGACCAAAAAAACATATTTCTAAAAAATAATTATTTCTCTTTTTAAAATGCCCTCCTTCATTTTTGCTAACCACTCTTTCTATCTAAAGCTTCTCGTATTTTAACATATTTTCCACTGTGGCCCTGTATGTGTTAATTAATGTTAACAAACAAATGACTATTTATTGTAGCATATACGTTTGAAATTAACTAACTAGTCCTCACTATTTGCTCACAAGTAGAGGATATTGAAAAATGTGTGGTAAAACTTTTACACTAGTAAGATTTTCATAGCTTTAGGTTTTTCATTATTTCTAATCTATGATTAATAGTAAAATGGACGTCATTGTTATCACTGGTAGATGCTATGTTTTTTTTTTCTATTGAAGAACAATAGCAGGAACTTAGCAGTTTGTATTTTTTTAATTTTGAAAAAAAATCAATAGTGTTTATAAGACTAGACAAACTTGTGTTTTCCTTATTACTGATGCCAGTTTGTCTAGAATCCCAAAGCTATTTTATACTATCACCCATCAGTTCACAGCCTTAACAATACAACTATTAACAGTGACTTTTAGTTGAGAATTCATCCATTCATTTGAATTTAAGCAATTCACGTAGTTACAGCTGCAAGACACTGAGTTCTTTTTAAGAATTGTAAGAGAGGCCCATCCTTCAAGCCCCTGATTCCCTTTTAAAGCATTTCTAATGCTTCATAAGCATACATGCTGGGAAACAGTGAGGATCTCCTCACGTTTCATTGTTTCTAGTAGGTTAACAAAAATATCACCCATTAGATTCCTTTTTTTTTTTTTTTTTTTTTTTTTTTTTGAGACAGAGTCTCACACTCAGGCTGGAGTGCAGTGGTGTAATCTCAGCTCAATGCAATGTTCGCTTCCCAGGTTCAAGGGATCCTCCTGCCTCAGCCTTCCAAGAAACTGGGACCATAGGCATGTGCCACAGTGCCTCACTAATTTTTGTATTTTAGTAGAGGCAGAGTTTCACTATGTTGTCTAGGCTGGTCTTGAACTCCTGACCTCAAGTGATCCGTCTGCCTGGGCGTACCTAGGAAATCCTTGGGGTTACAGATGTGAGCCACTATGCCTGGCCTCATATTCTTTTTTAAAAGATAACTTTATTCCTGTTAGCTTTACATTTTTTTTTTGAAATGAAACATTTGGTTATAATGCACATAAATAAATAAATGCCATATAACTATTTCTTGTTCCTAAAGCAAATTATATCTTTATATATCTTTAAAGAACCTTTGTTTTCCTTGCAAGGTTTGCCATTTTTTAATTTTCTGTGAAATTTATATATACAAACAAGGTACCATTAAAGGCCCACTGATTAATGTATGTAAACAAAGGTTGTTTTTAATCATTTTGCCAAATAATAGGGCTGCAACTAAGACCTTAACACTTTCAATGTTGTCTCTCTGATAGTAGAAAATAACAAAACAGATGCTTCAACACATCAGGTCAGCTACTTATAAAAATAAACTAAAATTGACTTTCATGGAAAGGTCTTGGAATATTGAAATTATATTTCAAAAAATGTTCAACTAATAAGTTTGTGTAAAGTCTCTTTAAGTGTAGGGAAACAAAATCTATGTGATAAAATAAGGTAAAATTTATTTAGCCTGCAAAATAGATTATCGAATATAAACTTTAATTTAAAATTCAAATACAAGAAATTATTTTTGTCTTCACATAGCAGCGGGAAAGGAAAAGCAATATTTAAATTTAGTGCAAGATATTCATGTTAGAAATAAAATAATATACACTAGTTTGGTACAAGATAGGGTTATGGGGTTTGCTTCATAAGCTTCTTGCAAGTAATTTCCCCTATAACTTAGAAATAGGCTAGTTACTCAAATATTATTTCATTTGAAGAATCTTTGTTTCCTTTTCAAGATTTGCAATTTTAAAGTTTTCTGTAAATTTTCTGTGCATAAACATGTTACAACTAAAGGCCCATTGATTGGTGTATGGGGTGTAGAGGCATTATGAGCAATTATAGATAGTAATTTATTTAGGAGGAAATAACTTTTGGCAGTCAGACAAATATGAAAGACATATAAAATGTAATTTATGTATTCATTTGTAAGTACATAACTTTTGCTCTCCATTCATATTTTAAAAATTAAAAAACTGCTTCTTGACAGTATATTTCATTTGTTTTGGCCACTGATTCCTAACACCTAGAATATAGCTATACGTAGTATCTAGCTATATGTAGAGTAAATGAATAAATGAATGGCCAAGTCAGTAAATGAATGAAATGAGAGATGTATAAATCTTTGAAAGAGCAGGATGGCAGTTTGGTTAAGAACAGGGACTCTGGATTTATTGCTTGGACTCACATACTGTTCTGCTACTTATAGCTTTATGACTGTGGGCACATTTTTCACTCACAGTAGTTCAATTTCTGACCTACAGAATGGGATAGTAATAATAGTAATGAAGTGAATTCATTTAAGATATTTCAAATAAAAGGTATAAAAAAAGGAACACATTTAAAACACACATACAGCATACCTTTGAAAAATGCATTTTAAGATAATGCATTAAATATTGTGGCATTACTAGCACGACATAATTTTAACTTACTTTAAAATAATGATTAAAACTGCATATTCTTTCCAAACACTTATTTTTATCATTTGACACATAATAGGTTTTATTCTCTATATATTTAGAAAAGAATGTATTGATAACTAACATTTAAATAGTGCTTAGGGTCATGAACTGTTCTAAGCACGTTTAATGTTGTTTGCATGCACCCATGGAAATTTCATAACACTTCACAATTTCATATATTAAAAAATAATGACTTGAAAAAATCATTACAATGAGAAGTTAATCTATTCTGACTAGTAAGACGTCAGTAATATGATTTTCATATAGGGACTTAATAATTACTGAAGAACAAGGACCAGATCAAAGAAAATGGGCATCTTAAGATTTACATTAAGATCACTTTATATCACTGACTATGACTGATATGGTTTGGCTGTGTCCCCACCAAAATCTCATCTTGAATTGTAACTCCCATAATTCCCACGTGTCATGGGAGGGACCCAGTAGGAGGTAATTGAATCATGGGGGCAGGTCTTTCTCATGCTGTTCTCATGATAGTGAATAAGTCTCACAAGATCTGATGGTTTTATACAGGGGAGTTCCCCTGCACACGTTCTCTTGCATGCTGCCATGTAAGATGTGACTTTGCTCCTCATTTTCTTTCAGCCATGATTGTGAGGCCTCCCCAGCGATGTGGAACTGTAAGTCAATTAAACCTCTTTCCTTTAAAAATTACTCAGTCTCAGGTATGTCTTTATTAGCAGTGTGAGAATAGACATTCAAAAGAAAAGAAGTTAAGATAAGAATAATCTTGGCCGTGTGTGGTGGTGCACGCCTATAATTCCAGCACTTTGGGAGGCTGAGGCAGGAGAATTGCTTGAACCTGGGAGGTGGAGGTTGAGATCACTTGAGGTCAGACCAGCTTGACCAACATGGTGAAACCCCATCTCTACTAAAAAAACAAAAATTAGCTGGGCATGGTGGCTCATCCTATAATCCCAGCTACACAGGAGGCTGAGGCAGGAGAATTGCTTGAACCTGGGAGGCGGAGTTTGCAGTGAGCCAAGATCGTGCCACTGTACTTCAGCCTGGGTGACAGAGTAACACTGTCTGTCAAAAAAAAAAAAAAAAAAAAAAAGGATAATTTTATGATTGTGAAAGGCACATGTTTTCAAAGTTTTTGCATGAAAACATCTTAATAAATTCCTATGTCATCAATGAGAAAAATCTAAAATATAAATATCTCCCTGTAGAAATGCCATGCACAACAAAAATACATTTTTTATTAGATTAGTTATAAAAATGGGATGCAGGTCTCTTGGAAAATGCTGCATAGCTAACAAGTGTCATGGCTTATATGAAGGGATGTACAGTGTTACATTATTTTGGCAATTACATTTTAGATTTTTAGAGAGATGAGACACAATGTGAGGAATGGTAAATTATTTTTTAAAATAAATTACTAATTCATGAGTCTTCTGCATATTTTTATCATGTATAATAGTTTTGTCTGTGTGAAAAAAATACTAACTCCTGTTATCTAAAAACTGTTATTTATGACTGTGGCACATCTCCCAGTATCAACAAATTCAGAGTATGTTTCTAGAGAAAAATCAAGAAACAAACTTGTTCACAATTACTGATCTTTTTCATAACAAACACCCTTACAAGTATAATTAGGATACATTGCATTCAAAGTGTAAAGTTTTTGAAAGAAGTGCACAAATATTGTTGCCTGCTTCAGACAATGAGCTGTTACCAGAGGTCAGGTTAACCAGAAAGAAGAGAAAGAAGGTCAACATTCGTGTATGTCTAGTAATGTGTGGAAGACATTTCACTAGTGAAGGCTCCCTGTTCTGTAAAGGTTAAGAGGATTAAATCAAAGTCCTTCACAGACCACAATGAAAGGGAAGATAACGCCGGGCATGTCTCTGGAAGGCAGTGTCAGGCAGAGACCGGAAGAGAGTCTGTCATGAGGGGCAGACTTGCAGGTGAATGAGTCACAAGGAGACCTCGTGTGTGATTTGCACACATAGCCACACAGCACATCTTCATTACGAGAGGACACGCTCCATTGGACCGAAACGGTCACACATAGAGTGCATCTTCAGAAGCAGTGCTTCAAGTAGACAGATTATTGCAGAGACCTCAAATCCCCAGAAATGTAAAAACTAACATTTAGCTCCTTGCCCTCTTTTCTTTAAAAAAAAAAAAAGTAATATTTTATTACTTTTTTTTCTTTATTTTCTCTGACATGGTCATTAAAAATCTTAAAATAGTAATTTTGAGAGACACAAGACTCTTTAAATAACATAATTGAAACCCTTCTTCCTATTGAGATATTGAGACAATGTTGAAGCCTTATACAATAAAGAAGTGATCATTAAGCCAGGTGTGCTGGCTCATACCTGTAATCTCAGTACTTGGGGAGGCCAAGGCAGGAGAATTGCTTGAGCTCAGGATTTTGAGACCAGCCTGGGCAACATAGTGAAACTCTGTCTCTGCAAAAAATAAAAATAAAAATTTAGTGGGGTGTGCTTGCACATACCTATAGTCCCAGCTACTCAGGAGGCTGAAGTAGGGGGATCACTTGAGCCTGGGAGGCTGAGGCTACAGTGAACCAGGATCTTGCCACTGCACTCCAGCCTGTGTGACAGAGCAAGACTGTCTCAAACAAAACAGATGTCATTAACACTGTTAACAACATTTTAAAATGTGAATCTTCTTCGAAGTTAAAATAATTATGTCAGTTAATAAAAATGCAAGCAAAATATATATCATTTGACCGCTATTTATTTGATTTATATCTGCCATTAAAATAATTTTTTTGATAAACTCAAATTACATGCCCATTTTAATAGACACATGACTAGGAACATTATCCTTATTACTTGGGTTGACATATTCACCTGGTATATTGGATTAATTTATTTGCTACTCACTAAGTAAAGAAGAAAAAAATTATAATGTGAATTATTTCTATTAAAGTTTTAGATTTGGGGCAAGGAAGAGATCTAATTTTCATCAATCAAATATTGGTTAGGTACAATCTATAAATGGTTATGAGAAATTACTTATTATGCTTAAAAGCCAACTTAATATTAACGTTAGAATATACTATTTTTTTTGCTTCAAAATATATTCTAATATATTGTACTTTCCAGAGTAAAATTCGCTAGACAATCTTAAGCTGTTACGTTCAGTATTCTCTACTAGTGATAATTCAAAATTATTTGCATAGACTTACAAAGAAGATACATGAGAATGACTTAAATTTTTTAAGAATAAATGGTTCATAAGAAACATATACTTCATTTCTGTTACTGTGCTTTTGAGTACAATTTTTATTTATTGTTTTGTTATAGTTTCCTATCACTATGCTGAAATATCTTTTTCTTACTTCAATTGTATTTTATTTTTATTAAGTTTTTTATAAATTGACAAATTATAATAGCATATATTTATGGGGTACAAAGTGATGCTATGACATCAATACAATATGGAATAATGGAATCTAGCTAATTAGCATATCATTCATCTCAAATTTTTACCATTTTCTGTTGTGAGAATATTTGAAATTTTCTCTCAGCGATTTTGAAAGGCAGACTATACTACTGTTAACTACATTCTCCACATTGTGCAATAGACGCCTCCCTAAAAAAACTATTTATCCTGTCTAACTAAGGCTTTGTACTCTTTACCATGATCTTTTTATTCCATCAACTCTCCAGTCTCTGGTAACCACCACTCTTCTTGAGTTCAATTGTTTTAGATTCTATATATAAGTGGGAACAAGTAGTGTTTGTTTTTCTGTGCCTGGTTTATGAAATATCTATCTTGCATGTTGTCCATCCTTTAAACAAGAGTTGTCAACATATTTATGATGATTATTTTAAATTCTCTGCCTCATAGTTTTAACAATTGTGGCATATCAGAGTCTGGTTCTATTGATAGCTTTTAATCTGGAGACTATCTTTTTTGTTGGTGTGTTTCATAATTATTTGTTTAAAGCTGGATCTATGTCCAGTATGACAATAGATAGCCAAGTAATTATCTCTTATGCTTTGGGGCAAGTAGACCTTTCCATCTACTAAACCTTAAATATGAAAATTTTTGTTAATCAAGTAACAAGTTGAACTGATTTTCAAGGTTGTTTTAGCTATATTTACCAGAGCTGGAGTTTGTATTTGCTATGGGCAATGAAGTTTTCAAAGTTCTCTCTTCTTGTGATACCTTGTTTTCACCTTCAGACTTGGCTTTGTGTTTTCCCTAGTGCTGCTCCTAGAGAGGGTCTGTCTCCAGCTGCATTCCTATTAGTATTATTTTTTTCTAGAGACTTGTTACTTTGGTGGTGGTGGGTGGAGAAGGAGTAGGTAATGTGAAACTTTCACATTTGTTTTTACCCCACCTTCAGGTATAGAGCGTCTGTTTCATTAGATCTTGTTGCAATCCTTTGCCGCAGCAGGCTTCCATCAGGGTCTTTAGTCTACAGTTTTGATATCTCTACCATGGCATATTAATTTCTTAAAAGAAGAAATGGAGTGAGGGGCTATTGCCTCTGGGCAGAATTTTGGTGGAGGCCTCTTTTCCCACTCTCCAGCATCAACAGAATTTTATAAGTGCCACCTGCTGAAGCAAGTCAAGTCTACTGCTTTACGGTGAAGACAAGGTGGGTGAGTGGAGGGCATGTCTGTGTAGACTTTGATAATGTTTACTAATCCTTTCTCCTAGCCAATACCATGGGGAATGCTTTCTCTGGAGTTTGTCCTCTATCCTCTTTGAGAATCTTGTAGAGTCCCTGGAGGAAATGTTGGCTAGAAAAGACTTGAGTCTGGGACATATAAGAAATTCACTCTCTAACTCACACTTGGTCTATAGCAGCTTATTAAAATTATCTGAAAGGCAGGGCTGGGCACAGTGGTTCACGCCTGTAATGCCAGCACTTTGGGAGGCCAAGGCAGGTGGATCATGAGGTCAGGAGATTGAGACCATCCTGGCTAACACAGTGAAACCCCATCTCTACTAAAAATACAAAAAAATTAGCCAGGTTTGGTGGCAGGCGCCTGTAGTCCAGCTACTTGGGAGACTGAGGCAGTAGAACTGCTTGAACCTAGGAGGTGGAGGTTGCAGTGAGCCAAGATCATGCCACTGCACTCCAGCCTATAGGTGACAGAGCAAGACTCCATCTCAAAAAAAAAAAAAAGAAAAGAAAAAGGAAAAAAAAATATCTGAAAGGCAATGATGTGATAGTGGTGCACGGTAGCCTCGAACTCCTGTGCTCAAGAGATCCTCCTGCCTCAACCTCCAAAGTAGGAGGGACAACAGGTGTGTGTCACCATGTCCAGATTATTATTATTATTTTTTAAAGACAGGATCTCACTATATTGCTCTGGCTGGTCTCAAACTCTTGGCCTCAAACTCCTGGCCTCAAGCAACCCACCTTCCTCAGTCTCCCAAAACACTGGGATTACAAGTGTGAGCCACTGTGTGCAGTCCCAAGATAACTTTTAACAGGTGAATATGTAAATTGTAGTACAGTCATACAATGAAATAGCATTAACAATAAAAAGGGATTAGCTACTGATTCATGCAACAATATGAATGATTGTTAAAATACATTTTGCCAATTAAGTGAAGTCAGACCCAAATAGCTGTATGTTGTAGGACTTCATTCGTATGACACTCTGTAAAAGGCAAAACTACAGGGACAGAAGGCATACCGGTAGTTCCCAGAATTGCTGTGAAGAGAGAGTGGTTGATTACAAAGAAGATACCTAGGGGAATTTTTAAGGTGATATAACTGTTAAGAATAGAACCGGGATGGTTGATTCATCATTATATGCATTTGTCAAAACCTATGTAACTCTGGACTTTATGGATGTAAAATAAAAAATAAAATCAACCAGGGTATCAGATGGAATGCACAATGCAACAAATGAAAATAAATGCATAGTAAATGTAAGGTATAACTTCATTGGAGAGGTTGGATAAAAAAGGATGTGTCCTATATAGCAATGTAGAAGTATCAGTAACCTCTAAGTTAATTATAATATAGTATGAGCCCAGTAAAAATACCTTTATCATTTTTTTTTCTGAGACAAGAAAGTTAATAACAAAACAATCAGTTAAAAATAGCCAGGACACCTCCAAAAAGGAAGAGTAATGAGAGAAAGGAGTTTTGCCCTATAAGAAATTAAAAATAGTTTATAAAGCTTTATACTTAAAGGAGTGTGTACTAACATATACACAGATAGACACATTTATGAAACAGTGTTTTAAAAATGAAGATATTGATGTAACGTGTAAAAATTTAAGAAACAGTATGAACTTTGTAATTAATTATATTGTAATAACTGACCATCATTTGGAAAAATATACTTTTGAGTATAAATTCACATGCTACACTCTAATAGGCTCCAGTAGACTAAATATAAAAATAATAAAATCATACTTAATCGTGCTTAAAAGAAATGAAAATATCAGTGAATTTTTTTATAACCCAGGAGCGGGAACTTAAAATGTAAAATAAAAATTAAAAGGGAAAATCTAATCACTAAAATTTGAAAACAAATGGAGATAAACAAGTAATCTTAGACACTGAATTTTGATTGCGTATTTTTAGAAAAATATTTCCTTTGGGTGAAAAAGCCCAAAAGCTATGAAATAAAGGACCTATTAATTTGACCACCACAAAACTCACATTTCAAAAAAAACCATAATAAAAGTAAAATAAAAATAATTGACTGAAAGGAAGATACTTTCAACTTATATCACAGACAAAGGCTAATATTGCCAATGGGCAAACAGTTTCTAAAAGAGGATAAAGACCAACAAATGGATAGAAAAGTTGGCAAAATATATAAATTAACAATACACAAACAAGAAATGAAAATACCCTATAATGATATGCTGAACTTTATTGAAAATTTAAATGATGTCAAGATTCCATATCTCACCAGCTTGGAAACAGTACAGAAAAATAACAATATGTTTACTCTTTGAATGGCTTTGGATGACTGCACACTGTTCTAAATTGCTGACAGAAATTCATTTGGGAATAAATGCTACAGAAGGTAATCTGAATAGATATTCTACGTTTCAAATCAATTCCACTTATGCACTAGAAAAATATAAAATGTCTATGCCTGTTTTTTCATGAAAGCTTATTTGTCATAGCAAAAGATTTCAAGGAAATGAAAAATCCACTTGTAGAGGACTGTGAAGAAACTATGACATAGCCACTTAATGACATATTATGCAACTAGAAAAAAAGGAGTGAAAAGATTTCTACGTACCTACACAGGTTTTAAAATATATCTTATCATATAATTTTGCCTTGAAAATTTACAGACACTTAAAATGTAAAATAAAAATTAAAAGGGAAAATTTAATCCCTAAAATTTGAAAACAAATGGAGATAAACAAGTAATCTTAGACACTGAATTTCGATTGCATATTTTTAGAAAAATGTAGTATGAAGATAAATACTTGCAATGAAACTTAGTGAAGGTATAATGACATTATTTTAAAGGTAAACATATATTTCATAGAATTATACAAATATTTAATCTTTAATCAAACAAAATATGCAGCGTGACATAATTTCTGTAATTGTATAATCAGACATTTAAATTCTATCATTTTATATAAATTGGAAAGGACACCTTATATTTTATATATATATATATATATATATATATATATATATATATATATATATAAAATACAGTTTTTTGGCTTTGTCCATTGAATTTAGATGAAATTGCAACCTAGTATCAATGGACAGGACAGACCTAATGCTTGAATTGTCATGTCTAAATACTATTCTAGGTCTGAGGCAGAAAAATACGCAAGAGAAGCTTGGGACTCTGCTGTGCCCAAAAGCAATGAAGGTATCAAAGATTCATGGAATCGTGTTAAAGGAAGAAAGGGGTGTCTAGTGCTGAAGGTGAGCCAGTTAAGTACCAAATAATGGTGAATGTAATGAATACAAATAAATTGCATATATAAAAATATGTGTGCCTACAATGATAATCACAGAAAAAGAGGAAGCCACAACAACAGCAACAGGTCATTTTAAGCTATTTCACTAGAGCATGAATTCTTTATTCTATAAATTGGCCAGTTAAGAGGAAAAAGTAGGACAGTCAGAGTGGTTCAGGCCTGTAATCCTAGAACTTAGGGAGGCCAGCCAAGGCAACAAGATTGCTTATGCCCAGGGGTTTGAGACCAGCCATGGGCAACATATGAAGACTCTACCATCTCTACAATTTTTTTTTTTAATTAGCATAGCATGGTAGCAGGAGTTTGAGGCTGCAGTAAGCTATTATTGCCCCACTACACTCCAACCTGGACAGTAGAGCAAGATCATGTGTCGAAAAAAAAAACAAAAAGAAGAGGAAAAAGTACTCTTTGTCTAATTTTATTCTATCTTTCTTGTGTCAATTATATTTCAGCCATAATGAGAAACATATCTTTTTTTTATAGATAATTCCCATTAAAAATCTAGAAGGAATTATGGAAATAAAAAAGAACTGATAATTGTGCAACTATGGAAAGAATTGACTGAAGCAAAAAGGATAAAATAATTAGATGAAAAGATGATGGATATTCCATGATAGTAGTATCTGATGTAAATACTTGAACAAAGTATGATTATAAACAAACAAATACTTTGTTTATTAACAGAGTATGATTATAAAAACTTAAACATTAAATATCATGTGAACAGTTGCTGATTACTGTATTAAGTTTTCATATTTGTGATTTTTTTACCTTCTTAAACATCTAAACTCTAATCTTTTGAGTAAATAAATACACCCTATCTCTGAAATAATAGATTCCATCGACTCAAAATTCAACGTAGAACTAAATACTGACTACTTAATTGAAATGAGTAGGAGAAAACACACACCATCTATTTCTTTACTCAGGGCCAGCCTTTGTGATCTTATCTACCTGTATTTTTTGATATATTATCCCTCTTTAATTTTTATCTTTCAGTCTTAGTACACTTCATTAGAGCACTTTTAATAGAAATAATTGCATCCTCACAAACTTACCTATTTATTTCAATTTAATGATTAAAATATGTTCAACCTTAGATCATAAATAAAATATAATATTTTCAGAAATTGCTCCTTTTATTTCCCCATTTATCAAATAAACATCATAGAGATTTGAGAACATGGATACCAAATGCCAGCACTATTTTCTACCCGTAGTCTCTAAAATGTGGTCAAACTCACTCTGACTTTACAGAGAGCCATAGAAAAGGCACTTTTCAAGATGCATTTTAATTTTTGCTAAATTCATACATTTTTCATTGATGAGAATTGTCACGCATTTATGTGCAAATAGTATCTTCCTTTGGAGCGTATTTTGCCTTGGGCACTTCATTTTTATGAAAAGCCATATGGACCTAGACACTAATATATTATATTACTTTGAAATAATACTTTTATATGGAGTAAGATTATAATTAACCACCTTGCCAGTTTCCTCTTGTTTACAATACTTTGGTGAAAAATATGTGAAAGCGTATTTTTAAAAATTCTAACCTAGAAAACTAATTTGCGTTATGTATGGGAGAGTTTCTTTATAGAAGCAAAATAGTTAAAATTTTGAGAAACATCTGTTTACAACAAGATATTTAATGCGGAGTGTTTATATCTTTATAAACCTACAATAAATGGGTAAGTTTATTTCACACATTAGCAAAGGAAATAGACATGAAACAATTACCATGATATATTTATATATATATAAATTTAAATATATTCATATAACTCATTACCATTTATGGTATGCAAATTGAAATAAAGTGCTCTTTAATTCTAATTGAATTTCCTCATATAAATTAATTTTTGTTTCCCACAACTTTATATTTATCTAAACACACACACACACACACACACACGCACGGGAAATAAAATAAAAGTTAATGAAATTAACATGAAAAAAGTATTAATATTTTGGAGGCAAGGTATATAATGCATCATATTTATGCAAAATAGTTTATATTAATTCAATGTCATTACAAATATTTATGGAGATATCAAAGAAGAAAACATACTTAAGGAAAACTAAGGAGAACAAAGACAATGGAGAAGTCAGCTTCAAAAAAGGAATAATTTTTAATAAATAACATTTAGTATTCACGCTGATGCAGACAAAAAAACCACAGACAGTGGCAAAAGGTGTATGTGTATATGTGTATAAAAGATAGCTGCTAGAATTAGAGAACGTTCATTTTGTTGCCCATGGTCTACTTTTCTAATTTGAGTTCTAATTTGAGTTCTTTCTTTCAATGTATGAGATGTTACTTCAGTTATTCCATTGAAATATGTATATCAGATGCCTACTCTCTATTGGGAATTGTGCTATATGCCAAGGAAGCAGGTGTGGCTGGAACCCAAGAGAGCACCTCTAAGCAGTTGCAAGGCTGGGGCAATGTAAGATCTCAAAGAGCAATAAAAAGCACAGTCAGGCATTTGAATTTTATTGCAGCATTAAATGAGGTAATGGAATGACCTGATCTACATTTCAAAAGATTGTTCTGACTTTTGTGTGGAGCATATTTTAGTGTTATAAGTGGAAGCCAGAAACCTGTTTAGAGGCTTTTCTACTAGTTGTGGTCCTGGACTAAGGCAGGGACAGTGGAGTGAGATGATAGAGATAGAGAAAGATAGAGATAGAGACAGAAAGAGATGAAGAGAGAGATAAAGAAGTGGTGTGTGGTTTGAGATCAATCGTGGGATGAGAGACGTGGATATGAATGAGGACTTTTGCATAGGCTAATGTGGACGCTGACTGAAAATGAAGATTTCTAGGTGTCTGGGCTTGACAACCTGTATGATACTTCACTGTGTGTTAAATAATACTTCCTATTTGAATAGCATTTTAGAGTTTATGTAATACATGTTTTCCTTGTATATACAAGTTGTCTTTGATGTTTTTGTTAATTTTTCCATGCAGATAAGAAAACTGAAGTTCTGCCGGGCGCGGTGGCTCACGCCTGTAATCCTAGCACTTTGGGAGGCCGAGACGGGCGGATCACGAGGTCAGGAGATCAAGACCATCTTGGCTAACACGGTGAAACCCCGTTTCTACTAAAAATACAAAAAATTAGCCAGGCGTGTTGGCGGGCGCCTGTAGTCCCAGCTACTTGGGAGGCTGAGGCAGGAGAATGGCATGAACCTGGGAGGCGGAGCTTGCAGTGAGCCGAGATCGCGCCACTGCACTCCAACCTGGGAGACACAGCGAGACTCCGTCTCAAAAAAAAAAAAAAAAAAAAGAAAAAAGAAAACTGAAGTTCTGAAAAATATCGTATTGGTCAATTTCACAGGCATAGTAAACAGAAAAATCAAATTCTAAAGAAAGTTCAATATACTTTCCATAGCCCTGCCCCTGTGAATTACCCCAGTTATTGGTTTTCATCCACAATAACAAAATAGCCCTCAAACTGATCAAATGGGGAAGTTGAGTAGGGAGTAAAAAAATATATTGTTGCTTAAATAGTTTAATGAATAACAAGGGCAGAAAGACAGGAAACTAAATCGGTTAAGTTACTTTTTGAGTTATGTATTGACCTTATTTTCTGTAAAATCACAGTGCCTAAGGCACAAATCGGTCTTATAAACAATTTCAGAATATATCAAGTCTACTAGAAAACATTTTAGTTGTCAAGACCCATTTCTGTGACCTCCTTGACTTTAATCTTCTGTAAGCAATTTAGGACTCCCTGCTGGCACGATAATATAGCTAAATAATATAGCTAAACATGCCTATTACTGGAACATTTTACAAAAAGTGAATTTTTTTTAATATTAACACCCTATAGCCTCAACTATTAGAGTTAGAAACCTGATTTGTTACAAATTATGTGTAGAATTATTCTGTTTTACTATAAAAGAATACTAAAGTTTTAAGTATATATTCTAAAATATGGGAAGGTGAAATTATATATATTTATTCCAATAAAATATTGAAATTTGAAAGTGATACACAGGAAAGTTATGACGCAAAGGTTGACAATGTGGAAGGAAAAAAGTAAAGCATAATTAGAGCTAAGTAAATATATTTAAGTGGTTAGGAACCTTAGTAGAAATGCATAGCTATTACATGAAAAAATTACCAAGATTAAAAATGTGAATCTAAACCCTTACATTGTATGTACAAAATTTGGAAATGAGTGGAATTAAGGGAATAATTAAAAGGGAGCTCATCTCAGCTTACAATAGATGTATGTAGAATTATATTTATTTCTTGTTATTTTTAATAAATAAACTAAAAATTTAAAATCTAACAATAAAAATTCAAATAATAGAGGATAAAATAGCAAATACATATACCAAACACCTGAAAAAGAAAACAAAAGCAAATCACAAACTGTAAGAAAAGATAAAAGAAGATCAATAGTTATCTTAATGAGCACATTGAATTATCACATCTTGTCATTATAGAGTCCTAGATATTTATATCATAGGAAAGAAAAGAGAATACATGTTTATTTCATATATCCTTGAAACATAAAGTGATTTATGTTTATATAAAACACAAATGTATCTAAGTATAATTCATGCAGAAATATAATTGCAAAATCAACAGCTAAAGTTTTAAAAATGTCTAGCCCCTCTAGAAATTAAATATTAGTCTAAGAAATCAGTATAACAAAGGAAAACTGAAATTTTTGACTACTGACATAATGGCAATGACTGAATACATTATATAAAAATCAGTTTCCACAAAAGTTGTCTTTTTGGGTTTCTGGTTTCCAATATTAGTCACAAAAGAGTAAAAATAAATAAATGTTCAAATTAAAGAGTTATAAAGAAAATGTTAAATATAATCCAGGGAATCAAAGAGGAAACTTATATATAGATATTAAAGCTGAAAATAACAATAATTGAAATAGCAATAAAATATGATCAATAAGTCTAGAATTTATCCAGTAGTTGGGACACAATAGAATAAAGCAAGACCACCTGAGTCTTATGGAGTGGATTTCTGTTTTGTCTTTACCCTTTAACAGAGATGTTATTTCTTTTTTCTTTTTTTTCTTTTCCTTTTTTTTTTTTTTTTTTTTTGAGACAGTGTCTCACTCTGCCGCCCAGGCTGAAGTGCAGTGGCGCTATCTCAGCTCACTGCAAGCTCCGCCTCCCAGGTTCACACCATTCTCTTGCCTCAGCCTCCTGAGTAGCTGGGACTACAGGCGCCCGCCACCACACCTATTTTTTTTTTTTTTTTGTATTTTTAGTAGAGACGGGGTTTCACCCTGTTAGCCAGGACGGTGTTGATCTCCTGACCTGGTGATCCACCCACCTCGGCCTCCCAAAGTGCTGGGATTACAGGCGTGAGCCACCACGCCCGGCCAAGAGATGTGATTTCCTTTTATGAAGGTTTAGTGCCCAGTTCTCTCCCCTGTGAAAGAGGGTTAATAATAACATCCACTTCTGTACAGTTGACACCTATTTAATTTTTAACAGAGTGAAAAGGGCAGGTTATTGTGGGAAAGTATCCTGTTTGTCCATTCATTTATGTATTCATTTTTCTTTCACTTATTCTTTTCTTTACTTATTTCTTTTAAATTTTATTTTTAATTACTTGACATATGATAATTGTACATACTATGGAGTACAGTGTGATGTTTTGGTACATGGATACAATGCATAAAAAATCAGTTCATGGTATTTTGTATATCCATTCCCTCTAATATTTATCATTTTTGTGTGTGTGATGAGAGCTTCGCTTCTTGCTTAAAAATGTTAAAAAATATTTTCTGAGACTCTACTACATATCAGGCATTGTTTTAGGTACATGAGGTACATTTGTAAACAGACAAAACTGCCCGCCCTCCTGCAGCTTATGTTCTGATGTGTACATAATAATAACATAAGCATTCTATGTGAATCAAAAGAAAAGCACAAAGGGCAGAAGCTGGAAAATGTCAATTGTGTTCATTTTTGTGCAATATCAATATGATTCTTTAATTTCTAAATTAGCAATTTTTTGTAATTGATCTAAGTGTTCAATTGATTGTGTTTGTAAATTATTTATTTTCTCATTTTCATGTTAGGAATCTTTTCAAAAAATGCTTTTTCTTTGTTTGAATTAGGTTTTTGCTTATTTCTTTGATTAATTATGTTTTCTATTCTTATTTATTTTGGGGGGCAATGAATCATGATTAGTGTCAATTTATAGAATAGCTATTGTTTTCAAAATTATTTTGCCAAACTCCACCTTTTGAAAATTTGCTTTTGTTTCTTCTAAACAAGTTCTACAACATATCATTTGTAATTTTCTTCAAATTCATTATATTTTGAGTTAAATTTATAGTGAAAGGAAGATTAATATCTGTTAAGTCTGTTTGAACTATTTAATGAATTATTACCTTGAAATCTCAGTAATTATGGGATTTAATTTTCATTAGCCCCATTTAAAGATAAGCAAATAAAGACTCGTTGGGTATATGGTAGAATGAAGATTGGAATCTTGCTTTATCTGGCTCCCATAGCCCATTAATTTTCTTGCTACAAGTTAACTAACAATGGATAAATTAGTTTGAGAAATCAGTGTCTTATCTCTATGCATAAGTTCTAGAAAATAAGAAGGAAGATGAAGCAAAAAGATGTCATAATACAAGTAACTGAGGTTTACATAAATTTAAACCTAACTTTGTAGTATAAATGGAACACCTAGATTCTTAACATTGATCCTTGAAGAGACTTTTGTTCATGTGGTCCTTCAGTGTTTCATAAATGATTCAGCTATGATCCATCATGCAACACGTAGTCCCAGACCAATTTAAAACAATGTTTTCTGCTAAAAATTACTTTTGAATAACACTTTACCTAATAATTCCTTTGTATAAAAACTAGCCTTTTTGACCCACCAAAAATGTAGTTTAGTCACGTTCACAAGGCTTTCCATTGCCCTTTGCCACAAACCTAACGACCCAAGCGTCTAAATATTTTTTAAGCAGCAGCTTCATCAATCATTTTGACAGCCATTGTGATAGATCAGAGACCCATAAAGAGTTGCATTATGGATGAAAAAACAATGCAGTGGAAGAGTGTTATGGATGAAGTATTTTCATCATCCCCATATAGCCAACCTACTTGAATTTTCATGCTTTAGTAGAAAAGAAAGGATGAAATCAGCAAGTACTATGGCAAATAGCAATTAAGAATGTAAGAATTTAAAAAAAAATTAAAACCTATAAATCTATCTTTATGAAATACGTCTTTCAATAAAATTTAATTGTTCATTATTACTTGAATGTTTACATAATTTCTTTCTCAAATTAAAAGAGCTATTACTTAATGGTTTATTTTAAATATATTATTTAATAATTATCCTTACATAAAAGCAAGGCAGTGAAGAAATATATTTAATACTAGTAATTGAAGTGTGAATACCTTTAAGTGCCTGTATCCTTGATGGTTTCATAGATAGTAAACTTAGTACTTGTTTGTGGAATAAACAAAATTTCTTGACTCTCTTGTCTCACAGTTTCTGCTCGTGGGATTTCTCTATTAATGGAGACATTTCAGTTACTCTCGTTATGTCTTGCTAAACTTTGACTCTGCCAGAAAATATCGATTGGCAAATGGGCTGCCCAAGGAAAATGGCACCATCAATTGCTAAGTGATCTGCAAACAATTAGAAACCTTCTTACTCTGTACAAATGGAAGGTCAGAGCTATCAGCCTGATCAGATAGGGTTGTAGAATCCTTAGAAATATACCCTGCATCTTTTCCTTTTCAATTTCTCACCATAAACACAAATCATGCCTTGTATTTCTATAGTCATTTTTTTTTCTAATAAATCTTTCTTAAGGCTTCTTGCTACATACATGAGAGCAAGAATAATATTGGCTCACAACAGTTCCTTAGCAAGTGCTCAATGAAAATTCAGGCACAGAGTAAATAAAAGCAAAACAAATAAACAAAAAAAACTGAGCATGAGAAAGGAGTTAACCACATATATAAGTTAAAATACATTGCAGTAAAAATACAAAATATTATTTAAAATTCTTGCTTGTGCATCATCTGCATCTCTAATTTCTGAACGAAAGTGAATTCACCTTCTAGAAACCTCTCAAAACATCAGTTCTCATCTTGGTAAAAAATTGAGGCTTCTGGCAGAGTGTGGTGGCTCACTCCTGTAATCCTAGCACTTTGGGAGGCTGAGGCGGGCAGATCACGAGGTCAGGAGATCGAGACCATCCCAGCTAACACGGTGAAACCCCGTCTTTACTAAAAATACAAAAAATTAGCCGGGCATGGTGGTGGGCGCCTGTAGTCCCAGCTACTCGGGAGGCTGAGGCAGAATGGCATGAACCCGGGAGGCGGAGCTTGCAGTGAGCCGAGATTTCGCCACTGCACCCCAGCCTGGGCACAGAGCAAGACTCTGTCTCAAAAAAAAAAACAAAAAAAACAAAAACAAAAACTGAGGCTTCTAAAATTAAAAATGTGTCTCTGTGTAAAGATTTAAATGATTGTGAATCGTTTTCATATCTTATCTCTATAATTAAGAGAAATAAATGTGACTTCTTTTTACTTAAGTACTAGCTATAGTACTAATACTTATCTGTGAAATGGATTAAAATGCTCAAAAATATAAACAGCAAATGATCTATTTTATGTACATAAGTTAAAATTTTATTCGGAGTTCAGATTGTGAGGGCACCATCAATTATGAGGTCTTTCCCTTGAGCTGGAATAGCTCAATTTTTTTAACAAATTATTACAAACTAGCTAAATGCTACTTTTTTATTATAATTTTATTTAACTTTTAAATGCATATTGTTATTATGAAGAAAATAATCAAACCACAGAGGAATGGTGTTTTCTGTGTATTAACATATACAACAATGAATTATCTCAACAAAACCTGGTAAAATACATATATCTGGTTCATTCATTTATTCAATAATCCAAGAAATATTTATTATTCACCTACTTATGGCCAAGGGCTGTCCAAACTATGAAATCAATAGTGAGAAACAAAAACAAAATGAGCCCCTGACATCACAGATCCAATTCATTTGGAAAAATGTGCATACGTAGACATTCATTGTTAGGGTAGATTTTTCTTCTGCCCGTTCCAACTTGCTTTTCTGAAAAAATAGCATGGCAGACAGTGTAACACACAAAAAAGAGCAAAGACCCATAATTTGGGAAATCTGGATTTAGGAAATGTATATTCTTATCCTTGACACTACTGAATTCCTTTAATACGGGAAAATCACTAAAACTGTACCTTCGTTTCCTTACTATTTAATTAATTTTTAATTTATAATTGACATAATTGTACATATTTATGAAGTACAATGTGATGTTTCAATGCCTATATACATTTGTATAATGATCAAATCAGGATAATTACCATATGTATTATTTTAACAATTTATCATTACTTTTTGTGTTTTTAAAGTATCTCTTCCTCCCTCTACCTGGTTATCCTTCTCCCTCACCCCTAGATCCTAAGGTTCTTAAAGTGGGTAGACCTGGACTGTGTCATGTTTGTTTTTAGTTTCTAAACCCAAGCTTAGCTCAATATCTAGGGAGTAGCAATAGCTGCAGTATGCTCTATCAACTTAACTGAATCTGTAGAAAAAATAAAATCTAAATCATATATTCCCGTTGATTCTTACAAACAATAAATGAAGCTACAGTTATTATTTATTTTAGCCACCATTCAAGAAAGTAATTTTAATAGCTAATAATACATATGAAGTTCTATATACATAGTAGTTACCATGCTACACATTTCAAAACTATTCTTCTCACTGAATACCTTTACATTATGTTCTCAAAGAATGAACCACTCTTTGGAGATGAGACAATCAAAGCAGATAGAAGAGAACTTGTCCAAAAATTTTCAGTAGGAAAATGAAGTCTATGCTTAAGAGCACAGGGCAGGCCTGAAGGTCACCCTGAGTCTTCTCATTAATGTAAAGTTCTCCTTTTTTATAGATGTTCACTATTATAATCATGTATTTTCTTTGCTCCTTCATTTTTTATTTAACTGATTATTGAAATACATAAACATAGGCAGTATAATTATAAACATTCCAACACTCTTGTTTAATCTATACTTCCAACCCACTGGATTACTTTAAAGTAAGCCCCAAATATTATGTTATCTGTAAGCACGTATCACTAAAATATAACTACCACAATTATGAAAAACAAAATATTTTCTTAATATAATCAAGATAGAGATCCTCAATTCTAAATTTTCATATGTATATAATTTTTTTAGTGTTGGTTTGTTCAAATCTGTAACTAAACAAGATATCCTTTTTTCTTATTTTAATATCCTTCTTTTAGTAGCCTTACATGTCTACTCTCCTTAGTTCTTCTATTCTCCTATATCTTTATTAAAACATTATTTATGGCTTTTAATGCTCCTTTTTCACTTTTCAATCCCTATTTCTGACACTCCATTTATTCTGACCAAATATTGATGAATTCTCCTTTGATGATCTGACTAAATTACTGCATACTTGGCATCCAGCGAACTCAGGATTGGATTCTATGATGTGACTGGAATAGGAAATGAGATTCTGAGAGAAAGGCAATATTCAATTTGGTAACTATTTTTATCTATCACTAAATGAAGTATAGAGTCTTGTGATTTTTGTTAATAGTGGTGAAACATTTAATTCCCTCCATCAGTTCTAACATTGTAGCCAATGAAATTTAGGATAATTTACTTACTATAAAAATATTGTAAAAAACGTTTTAAATGTACCAAGGATAAAAAGAAAAATAAAGATCACCTTTAATCACTCAAGCTAGACAAGAGATAACAATATTTTGATATATTCTATTTTCCTTCTTATAATTATGTATATAGGAAGATATGCACATCCAGAGATGTGCAGCAACTGAGATCTTGTTACCTGTAGCAAAAGTCACCAGAGCCACAAACATTTAAATGACAATTTTGATGAACTGGTAGAGTCTAAATATGGACTCATGCAAAAGAGAAAATCCTGAGGGTCGCAGTGTTCAAAAAGCCACACAACTTTCTTGGGCTTCTTCTTCAGGAAGCCTATAAGATTCTCACAGTGAGGACCCAGTAGTTTCTCGCATGGCCTTGGTGGGAGCACAATCACTACATATATTTGGTGTGTATGCATTTTTTATTTCTGGGTAGATAAACAGTATTCTGGTTATACCACCTTGTCTGAAATTGAAAGTTTCATTGCATTTTAATGAACAATAATTTAAAAGTATATATTATCTCTTTTCACCATGGAGTAAATGTTGCAGATAATATCATTTGGAAAGCAATTTCTTTTATGTAGTTCAGTGTGATGGATGTTTGTTATGATTAATATCTATGACGAAAGGGAGAAGGCAGGATTCAACAAAGGGAGAATTTGGGCTGCAATGCAGTCTCAACAAAGACCTCAGGCAACCCCACAGAGAGTTATGACTCTGAAATATTTCTACAAGGTTATCTGTAATTCGAGAGAGAGGCCAGGTTTTTGTACTCATGCATTGATCAATCATTAGTATCAAGCTTGCTCTCCGGGTGTGAGTTTAGAAAAAAAAGGTTCTATTTGTCCAAGGACCAGTCCAGGAGTGTTTGGTAGATGTCTGCTAACAGTTGCATCACTCATAATAATAGAGGAATCTGGATGACACAACAGAGCAATCACTTCAGTGTAGTAGATTTTACTTCATTAAACAATGATTTTGGTGACTTTAAAAATATATAAATAAATAAATTATTATAGTTGTATTGCAGATTAATAATATAAATAATATGAAAAACATACAGCTTAATAATTTTAAGCTTTAGAAATTAAAATTGCCCAAGTTCTTATTTGAAATATATCTCTTGAATCCTAATTAAAATATTTTGTGGTAAGAATAATTAGCATTCTAAATAAAGTATCTTCAAACAAGGTTCAGCCTGAAGTATCTTTTTATAAATAAAAAATTAGCAATATTTCAAAACAGGGTACTAACAATAGGTTGATTGTAGTAATGTGAAATTCATAGAAACCAGCTAATTTTTAACTAAAATTATTCAAAATTATTGTATAATTTGAAATTGAAAATGATTTGTTGATTGCTATGGTTTGAATATGGTTTGTTTCATCCAAAACTCATATTGAAACTTGATCCCCAATGTGGCAATATTGGGTGTGGTCCCCAGTAGAAGGTGTTTGGGTCATGGGAGTGGATCCCTCATAAATAAGTTAAAACCCTCCTATGGGGTTGAAATATGTTCTCGCTCTTGGAGAAATGGATTAGTTCCCATGACAGAGGGTTGTTAAAAAGAGTCTGGCTTCCCTGGTTTTCATCCCTTGTTTCCTCTCTCACCATATGATCTTCTCCTTTCACTTTCTGCCATGAGAGGAAGCAGCGTAAGGTCCTCGCTAGAAGCAGCTGTCCAATCTTGGTCTTTCCAGCCAGCAGGATCATAAGCCAAATAAACGTTTATACATTATGTAGCCTCGAGTATAGTGTTATAGCAACACAAAATGGACTAAGACAACTGGCATCATATTTTCTGGATTACTTTTTATCCAAATAAAGGGGATAATGATCCAATTTAAGCAGCATGAAAAATATCCATTTCTATCATCTGTTGTACACTTGAAAGAAGTATCTGACAGAAGAAACAGAAAACATTCCATTAACATTCAACATAAACTTATTTTTATCCTCAGTGGAAACAGAAGCTGTATCATTTATTAGAGTGCACGCTACAGCTTTTGGTACCATATGCTCTGTCAGATTTAGGTGATACTTAATTGCTCATTGTTAAACTAAGATGACAGTCATTAATAGCATCCTGACAATTAATACAGAGGATATGTAGAAGCAGAAAAGAGTCATTTGCCATTATTTTTATCCCCCAAACTTTGAAATTAATATTTTAATAATTTTTATTCTCATCTTCCTAATCATATCTCTTTATAGGGTATATTTATATATACATCTTCTATAAAGCAAGCAGGTATCAAAAAATTAAAATACTACTGCAAATATGAGCTTACTATGATTATGACCCAGCAAATTTATTTGACATGATAAATAGTAAATATTGATTAAAACTTACTTATAGTAATTACTTTTTGTAGACCAAATGCTAAACAATGCTTTCCTAATACTAGGATGTATGTATCTCATGTCATCTTAGAAACACAATCTCTTGACCAAACAGTATTTCTTATTATTTCTTTCCCTAATAAATTTCAGCCCACTTAATGTCATTCTCCCTTTCTCTGGGTAGAAAATATTTTGTATACGGTGTAAGAAAAATTCCAAAATTTTTGACATCTTTCTTCCAGAAACATTACCAGTTGAGGTGATTTTTGTAGAAACTTTGAGGTGAAAGTGAGTACAGTTAAATTTAATGCTAACATAACCAAATTCATATTCCCCAAATTTAAATGTCAATGGATGCTTCCATTGCATCCATTCCATGGATGGCAACATTTAGTGTGGGGATTTAAGATACCATATACAATCTCATTTTATATTATATTGTTATTTTCTTAGAGAGAAAGTGCTGAAGTTATATGTGGCAATAATTCCTGAGGCTTCAAGAGCAAAAGCACTAGCTATAGTTTATAGAATAAGGTGATATATCTTAGTAGAGTCCTTTGCTGAAGGCTGGGGTGGGTGTAAAAATCTGAGAAACTTCTCACAAGTCTGAGGTTGTTCAGAAACACTTAAAATGCTAGTCTATCTTCATTTGCATGGAATCCAGAAAGTCTGCGGGAAAACAATTTAAAGTTAGTCTGGGTCAGACACCGCGGCTCACGCTTGTAATCCCAACACTTTGGGAGGCCGACGCGGATGGATCACTTGAAGCCAGGCAATTAAGACCAGACTGGCCAAAACGGGGAAACCCCATCTCTACTAAAAATACAAAAAATTAGCCGGGCGTGGTGGCATGCACCTGCAGTCCCAGCTTCCGGAGAGGCTGAGGCATGAGAATCTGCGAATCCCTTGAACCTGGGAGACGGAGGTTGCAGTGAGCCAAGATTACGTGGGTTCTCTCCAGCGTGGGCCACAGACACTCCGTCTCAATAAATAAGTAAATAAATAAATAAATAATAAAGTTAGTCTGAACCAGTTCAAACATATACCTGTTTGATAGCTGTGGGTGGGAGTGGGGTTTGGGAGGGTTGAAAGAAGGCTGTTCCGGAAGGAAGAATAATAAGGCCTTTGAGAAATTATCACCAGTGGATAAATAAATTATATAGAAAAGACCTACCTAAACAAAAAGCTGCAATGCCCAAAGGGGCATTTGTTCCATGCACGGAGTGATACTGAGGTGCAGAGGGCTACATTTGAAGGAAAGAACCATGTAGGTGACATGATAAGGTAAGAGGAGCCTGTAACCTGAGACTTGTGCTTTAGATGTTCTCAGTCTCTCTTATTTTCCCTTGTATATTATCTTGTCAAAATAATATTGATTAGTAATAAAAGAAGAATGTATGATGTTGGGGAAACCAGCCCCACACCACCCAGCGGGTACCCCGAGTCCGGCGAAGACAAAGGAGTTGGAAAGCGACAGAATAAGCGTTTAAAAGGCGGGTCCAGGAGACCGGATCATCGGAGGCTTGCTCAAGGCCTAGAGCTCTGGGCGCCGCCCAATTTATTGGTTTACAAGCTCTTTGTTCTTAGGGCAGATGGGAGGGGGAGGAAAGGATGAGGAAAAGGATTAATCACTGAAGGAGAACTTGTGAGTCATTCAATCAGATGTATAGCAGTGGCGGTTTCTGTGAATTTCCTTGAGCAAAGGCATGTGTCTAACTACTTAAGATCTTTAACTTATTGGGACTGAAACAGGTGGGAGTGGGTTTCAGGAGGAGCCAAGATGTTTGATTATACTCCACTGCTTTAAGGGAGTTTTATCTCCCTGAGCAACCTGTGGAATGCAGCTGAGCGGTTATGCTCTCCCGGCATAAAGACATGAATGCAATAACGAGACTTTTCTCCTCAGAGGCCGCCCATGGCTCCCCATGGGTGTCTCACACAGGGGAGACCAACTCAACTGGCACCCCAGAAACTCTCTTTCCAACATATCTCAGTTGTAACTCTTTTTTTTTTTCTCTCTCTCTCTGTCACACACACACACACACACACACACAATCTAGGACTTTAGAACTTTCAGATATTCCTCAGGATCTAGCCTTCAAATCTGGCACAGCAAAACCAATAACCCTAAATACTTTAGATATTAATGTATTCCAGAGGAAGGAGAGGGTTTATCCTCATCTTTTCTGCTTTGATATAAAAACAAAATGCAGTTTAGGCTACTTCCAGCTTCACCAATAGATACTGTGTCTGGGGACTGGTGTGTGGCAGGATTTGAGCAGGGAGGTGTCTTATTAAGAGGAAGGACAAATTATTAACATGGCAAATCCTTCTTCTTAGGTCACATTAAAGACAGAGATTCTTGCATGACAAAACATTTTTTCTGGATAGTGAAAATGGCCTCTTTTATTGTTTTTTTTATGTGCCGCAATACATGATTCCAGTGATAATCACAAAGTAACAAAATATTTCCAACAGCTACACATGGTTGTTGAGGATTACAGTGCATTGTTTACATTGTGAGCTATTTATTTCCTATGAAAGCATATTTTTCAACTTAGTATAGACCACATTTTATGTATGATCATTTGTTTATTTGTGATTTTAAATATTTAAGTATGCATATGTGAACCTCCAACTTTATCCATGTGCTGCAAATATAAGAGGTAGGTCTGGGCATGAGAAAATCATCTGATAAGAGTAAGCTATTTGCCTATTAACTCAAAACATATATGAAGCCTTAATTTCAGACAGGAATGGGCAACAGAAGTGTCACAATTACAAAGAACTCACATCACTCAGGTAGCCAGGGTAATTGTTTATGAAACAAGCCCCTCCAGTAGAATCTCATAAAAAGGAAGTGACTTTATCAAGGGCTTAAAAACTGTTGAAGACTAGGAGACTTTGGTGTAAGGCATGTAGGTATTTTTAGAATTTTCTTTTTGTTTGTTTGTTGGTTTTGTTTTTATTTTTTCTTTTTGAGATTGCATCTTGCTCTGTTGTCCAGGTTGGAGTGAAGGGGTGTGATCAAGCTCACTTCAGAATTAATCTTCTGAACTCAAGCAATCCTCTTACCTCACAATCCCAAGTATCTGGGACCACAGGTACGTGCCACCATGCCTGGGTAAATTTTTATTTTTATTTTCTTTGAAGAGATGGTGTCTCACCATGTTTCCCAGGCTAGTCTCAAACTCCTGGGCTTATGCAGTCCTCCCATGTCAACCTCCCAAAGTGCTGGGAGGTGTGAGCCACCATGGCCAGATTTCTTGAAAGTGTATAACCCAGGGATCCTGAGGATTGTCTAGAAATCCTGCTAATGCAACAGGTGAACATGTAAAACATTCATATAAATGTTTCATTTATGATTCATAATTCATGTGAAATAGCATGAGGAAACACAACAGAAAATAACTACAGGAAAGCTATCAGAATGTAACATAATAGAAAAACCCACCCAAGGGGACACAATTTTTTTCATTTCATTTCATTTCAACCAGTTTTTTTCCATTAAAACATGCTGTATTGCCCATTTCAATCAATGGATTATTAAACTTTTTATCTTTTATTCCTTCTAACAACTAAATTATGGCAAATCATATCAATAAAAAAGCCTTGAAATCCTTAGATGTTATAGAATTGCAAAGTATATTATTATTTACACTTAATTTGTAAACAGTATGCCATTTCCTGTCTAGTGATGCTAAAATTGTTCTTTTGTTTTTATTTTTATTTGTGAATAACTAAACATTATTTTAGAAGACTAAAATTGCATTGCCAATATTTGTTACTGTTTCTCTGATTCACTATTGCTCCAACCCAAAGTAACCTAGAAACTATTAGTTGAAAGAAAGTTGCAACTGAGATAGATTCTGATTGTATTACTAATCAATATTGTTTTGACAAAGTAATATACAAAGGGAAAATAAACTATAAAATATGTTTTGATATGCAATTTGATTCTGGGGAAAGTAAGAACTCATTTTACACTGAGCATAGTATGACTAAATTAAGCAGAATATAATAAAAGGAGCTTTTTCATTTTGAGACATTTTTGCAGTAAATACTCACCATAACACTACTGTATAAGCAATTAGTAGTTTCCAAGAACTCTTCTTGGTATATGTTTGAAATTCAAAATTAATATCTAAAATCTTCATGTAACAAGCAACATTTGTTTTTGAAAAGTGGGGTTTGAATTTTATTCAGAGAAGAAAGAGAGTAAAAGGCTTAGTTGGGTTCATGTCTTTTAGTAGGTATTTTAATGAAGACCTAAAAATTCACACATACTCTTCATCGTTAAATTTTAATTTTCATTAGAAATAATATGTTGATAGTTGCTTAGAGCAAGAGTTGACCAACTAGCAAAGTTTTGTTTTGTTTTGCCTTATTAATTCTAATCATTTACATTCTAGGTCTATCAAAAGGGACAACTGCTAATTGTTATGCATAAGTCTAAAGTTTGCATTTGGAACAGAAGAAATCCATAAGATGTGTGGTTTAAAAAAAATCCAAAATTACCTTTAACAACAGTGCCTGGTACAGTTCCAGCTGAATACTAGCTTAAATGACACTGGCATCTTTCTCCATATGAGATTTAATTTCCTTTTATATGCTAGCAGTGTCTAGTGTCATTTCTTATAAACGGACTTGTCAGAATTTAGCTCTGAACATGGTGAGAGGCATTCTGACATGTACCATGGGAAATGAAAAAAGTATGCCAACTCTTAGCAGTATATCAATACTAGAAGAGCTTATTCTCTGCTGGCAATTGGTCTAAAGTTAATTAGGTGTTTAATTCTTATCCATTTACTTGTGAGAATGACCTTTTCATTTCCTGAAACAAAGAAGAAAGTATTTGTTGAAATTTATGAAATTAAGAAATAAAAATGCAAAATACAGCAGGAGCTATTATAAAATTATGCCCATCAGTGTCACCTAAACATGACATAACAAGAATTATACACAACCTAGTATATTTCGTCTTCAAGATGTCCACCCTTAACAAGCCACTTCCTTACATTCCACCAAAAGATAAACACAATGGGAGCAGGAAATAATTTTGTTGCTTTTTTATTCACTACTTAATCCCAGTAATGAGAAGAGTAGTCAACTCTATATAATAAGGTTTAGGTAATTACTGAATGAATGAACGAACATGATCACAATTAGAATGATCAAAATTCAGTGTGAAAGTGGCCCTAATTGAGTAACAATGAAATGCTAAAAAAACCTAAGCATCTTTAATACATATCATCATTAAAATAATCATAAACATATTTTAATCCTATCTTTTCTTCTCCATTCCCCCTACTTTTTTAGAGGTTCATTATTTGTCACCCCAGGAATGTCACCCCAGGAATGTTACAATGCTCTTTCTGTACTCTCATGATTCATACTATAACTCCAATTATGTATTACAACTCCATATTACAACTACAATTATATTTTTAAAATGCATATGTGATGATGCCTTTCTCCTGCCATGCAGCCCTATTAACAAAATAATTAAGAGGAGATTCTTTATCAAGATGTGAAATGCTCTAATGATCTGGCCCCTGTTTAACTTTCAAGTTCATATTAGCCATAGGGTTATTCAAAAAAATCTAGTGCTCTTTCATTTTTTCATCTTTTTGTATGTGTTATTTTTTCCCTGAATAATGTCTTCTCCCTTCTGTCGAAATAGCTAATATACCCAGCATTTTAGTTTAGCTCATATAATTATCCCCTTGGGAAATAATTTCTGATACCATTTCCCTCCCAAGAAAATTCAACATTTTCTAGTCTCTGGCGCAAAAGTAATTTATATTTAAAAACGTTTAACAAATGGTGCACTACTTAGTGAAGGAAGAGATATTTCTCTGTCAGCACAATACAACATGAAATACTAGAAGCTTTAAAAGAGAGATTATTCATCTATCTATCCCCAGGAACCTATGTACAAAACATAATATAGTTGTGCAAAAAATATTTATTAAAATATATAAAAAATTATACATTTATATAATATTTAAAATACCAACACTCTTGCACAAATCTTGCTAAATGTTCCAGATTTAAAAAGTAAATGACACATTACCTATTCTTGAAAACTTTGGAATCCAGTAGAAAGATATAATACTACATTATATTTGCAGAAATACAGAGTAGTATGTTCAGTAAAAAATAAGGTAAATGTTCTTTTAAATCTATCTTAGGAGAGAAGAGAAGCTTCACATTGATGATACCATTAGAATTTAAATTTAAAGAATATGTGAATGTAACCATTGGGCAAGAAAAAAGTTCTAAGCTGAAGAAGCAGCACCAAAAAACTCCACCCAAGGAGGAGCTTCTAATTAATCAAATTCTAGTTAAATTAGAGGTGATCTTCCATGCCTCTTCTAAACTGGGATTAGCAAACTAAATGCTCTCTGGAGGAAGATCAATAGGAGTCTCAAAGTATCACTAACATTTTCCATAGACAGCATTGAGAATGCCATAAATAATTACATTACATGGTGATATGTTTAGGCTTTGTGTCCCCACCGAAATCTCACCTTGAACCCCATAATCTCCATAATCCCCTATGCCCAGGGAGACCAGGAGGTAATTGAATCATGGGGGCCATTTCCCCCATGCTGTTCTCATGATAGTGAGTGAGTTCTCATAAGATCTGATGGTTTTATAAGGAACTTCTCCCTCTTTGCTCTGCACTTCTCCTTCCTGCCGCCTTGTGAAGAAGGTGACTTGCTTCCCCTTTGCCTTCTGGCGTGATTGCAAGTTTCCTGAGGCCTCCCCAACCATGCTGAACTGTGAGTCAATTAAACCTCTTTCCTTTACAAATGACCATGTCTTGGACAGTTAGTTCTTTTTAGTATATGAAAATGGGCTAATACACATGGAGTTCCAAACAAGAAAAAAAAATTTAGAAACATATACTGAAAATCAATGTATTACAGTTATTAAATACAAACTTGATGAGAACTATGAATTATAGGCCCTCAAATTATAATATTTTAAGCTGGAACTACAAATCATAAAATATCAAATTACAATTATAGATACAAGTTTAAAAATAATTAAAATTAGCACCTCTGAATAATTTTACAGGCTAATTAAGCAGAAGAAAAGATTAATGAATTAGATGATCAGTCAATAGAAAAATAACCGATGAGATATTACATAGAAATGAAAAGGAAAATTGGCAATTGTAGAAAAACTGCTACAACCATAATATATGAGAAATTTTTAAAAGAGGCAGTAGAAAGTTGCACACTATAGTCACAGGAACAACCATAAAATCAACAGATAATTCATCAACATAAATAATCATAACCAGAAAACAATGGAAATATATTTCAAAAGTGCTGAAAGTAAAGGGCAGAAATGGTAGAATACCCTATGAAAACACTATTCAAAATTGATGCAAAATATAAAATCTCTGGAAGAAAATAGGAGAAAAATCTTCATATATAAAAATACTTGTAGCTAGGACACAAAAAATAGAAAAGCAATAAATACATATAATAAAAACTCTATTTTTCCAAAGACCCAACAACAATAAATAAGCAAAAAATATATGTAAGTAAATATATAAAGACCAGGTGCAGACTCAGAGAATATACAATGCATTTGTGTTACAAGAGACTTGCATTCAAAATAACTAAGGACAATTATACCTCAATAAGGAGAAAATGAATTAAATAGAAATGACCATAAAAAAATTTAAACAACTTTTCAACAAGGCAATTCATGAATGTCCAGTAATCACCTAAAAAGACATTAAACAATACTAATCATCAGGAAAATGTTAATTATAACCACAAAGGAAAACCACTAGACACTAAGAAAGGAAAAAATTGAAAATCTGATCATACCAATTTCTATATGTTATGGACATGTTTGCCTCATACATAAAATGTATCTAAATGTTAATTATCTTACTTCTGTAACTATAATAAAATCTGAACTGACTTGTTTTTATTTACTATAAATTTTAAGATGTAGTTCATATACTAAAAGTCATTGTTATTTAAATAATCATAACTTAGGCATAATTTTTCATTAAATTTTATAAAATGAAAAGGATTTAATATGTTTTATACTCTGTTTCACCTTTTAAAATTATTAGTTTGGTGTCCAGTAAAAATACAGCACTGAAAAATTCCTTTATTCTCTACCTAAGGTACAGCCTGACATATTCTTCACATATTTTCCATAACAATTTTCCTATGTGCTGCAATTCTTATTTCTATGTAAGTGGACAGAAAAGGTACCTGAGATGCATGCTTTATTATGTTGTCATTACCCTTCAATTCATTTGAGAATGTGCATAATCATCATTTAGGATAAAATAAGTTTAAAGGTTTAAACACTATTACCTACAATGTAAACTGGTAAATGTGTTAGTCCATTCTCATGCTGCTAATAAAGACTGGATAATTGATAAAGAAAAAGTTTAATTGACTCACAGTTCCACGTAGCTGGGGAGGCCTCACAATCATAACTGAAGGCAAAAGGAAAGGCACATCTTACATGGTGGTAGACAAGAGATTGAGAGCCAATCAAAAGAGGAAACTCCTTATCACAAGTTCACATCAGATCTCATGAAACCAATTCACTACCACAAGAACAGTATGGGAGAAACTGCAGCCATGATTCAAATATCTCCCACCATGTCCCTCCCACAATACATGGGAATTATGGGAGCTACAATTAAAGATGAGATTTCAGAGAGGACACTGCCAAACCATATCAGTAAACAAAACGTGAAAATATTCAAACTTTATGACTCCCTTGAGTTTTAGATTCCATTCATTTGCTACGAAATAATTTGCTTTCTTATGGGTACTGGTTATCTTGTAGGTACTAGGTTATGATTATTAATTTGACATGTATGGTTAGGAATGTTAAAATGTAAGTGCATTGTATATTTGTTATCTATCAGACAGTCATATATTGTGAACATAAATTGACTTTCAATTCAGATGTGATATCTTAATTTAGTAGCAAAAATTAACAAATCAGAAAAATTAATGTCATATTGCAGATTACTCTTGATTCAAATTATTGTTGTTTGGATATCTAGGATAAATCTAGGTTACTTTTATGTTCCCTTTGTATTCATTCTCTCAATGACAATCAAAGCATTCAAAAATACATTTTAAAGCAAATATATTAAAAAGTATTTTTCTATGACATTTTAGGCAATTTTTATGGTTGATGAGAAATCCAAATTTTTTATTATTTTCCAAAGTATATACAGTTACATTACCAACCTTGTAATATTGTAATAACCTGGATTTTTTTTATTACTAGCTTGGGCATTTTGGAATTATTATTTCCTGAGATAAAATGAGAAAGCGCGCTTTCTGTCTTTCATCCATTTTCAAGCTTAGCTTTTGCTGAAATAGTCAATTTTCTCTACATCAACAACATTAAATGTAGAGATAGTTTCTTGGAATCAAAGAAACAAGAGCATCTCAGGAAGAATTATCATGTAGCTTTCCTTCATATTTTATCTGGCAAAGCCTAGGCACAACGCACATAGAGCAAGTCCTCTCTTTTAGTTACAGAATTGGGCTGTGAATAAAGAGTAGGAGTGCCAAGTTGTCATACAGTTTTATGAAAAAAAGCATATCATAAAAACACTGGGAAAATATGCTAAAGTCTCCTTATTTTTGCTCTGTCAATAAAAAAAAGCAGTCAGAGAAAAACAGGGTAAGTAGGCCCCCCTTTCCATGGTTGCAGTTACCTGTGGTCAATAGGTGAGTACAGAAAGATAAGGTAATTTGAGAGAGAGAGAATGAGAGAGAGAGAGAGAGACAACACTGACAAAGCTTTTATTATTTTCTTATAATTGTTCTATTTTATTATTAGTTATAGTTGTTAATCTCTTACTGTGCCTATTTTAAAATTAAACTTTATGTAAGTATGTATGTATAGGAAAAAACATAGTGTATATAGGCTTCAGTATTGTTTTTGGTTTCAGTCATCCCCTGGGAATCTTGGAGCATATCCCCCACAGATATGGGAAGACTACTGGCTAAGACTTAAAAAATCATGATAATAGAAACTGAAGAAAGCTTAAATAATAGAGTTATAAAACATATGGTGAATAAAGAGTCTCAGTAAAGAAATGAATATTTAGCAAATAAGTTTAATCATATAAAAAGAAAACTAGGGGTGATTGTTAGATTTGGCCACTGATAATCTCTGTGTGGGAAAGTAAGGAAAAAATGGAAATTTACTAAGGTGAAAGTGGAGATTGGAAAAATTGAACATGTATATTTTACTTTTCTTTGTTTCAGGATCTAAAACGACAGTAGTGGTGGATGTGTGGGGTGTGTGTGCGTGTTTGTGTGTGTGTGTGTATGCATGAAGAAAAAGAATAGTAGAAAGGAGGTGGCAGAAGAGCAGGGGAAAGGTAAGATGTCAATGTATTTTTGTCATGTGAGGAGCAGAGAGATAAACAGCAAATAACTTGTAAGCACAAAAAAAAGCTAAAGGTTAAGTGCCTGTAAAGGATGGAATAAGATCTCTTGGCTTCAGAAGGAACCCATGGAGAAATTTCTGATTTGGAGGGACTGCAGGTAGAGTGATGGGTGAATGTAGGTAACAGTCAAGGAAAAATTAAAAGGCCGAGATTTGTCCTCACCCCACCACACAAAGAAACAGGTGAATATGTCTTTAAGAACCAACAAGAGATGAATCATTTATCCTCTGGAAAAAACTAGTGAGTGCAAATCAATGGTCAGGAATGCCAAGGATAGCTGAGGGTGAGGGAGAAAAACTGTCTGGCAGTAAAGGAATTAAGTGAAATACTAAAAATTAAACGCTATGATTGCTATCCTGGTTCTCCACCCAACTACAGTTCACCCCAGTACAAAATTGATGTAAACTTGTGGGTCCACCTAAACATGGATTTTCTTCTTCCTCTGCCACTTCGAGACAGCAATACCAACTCCTGCTCTTACCCTTCTCCTCAGCCTTCTGAATGTAAATACAACAAAGATAAAGACCTTTATGATGATTGATATGGTTTTGCTGTGTCCCTATCTAAATCTCATCTTGAATTGTAGCTGTTGTAATCCCCACATGTCATGGGAGGGAACCAGTGGTAGGTAACTGAATCACGGGGGCGAGTTTTTCCCATGCTGTTCTTGTGATAGTGAATAAGTCGCACAAGATCTGATGGTTTTATAAGGGCAGTTTCCCTGCACATGCTCTTTTGCCTGCTGCCATGTAAAACGTGACTTTGCTCCTCCTTCACCTTCCACCGTGATTGTGTGGCCTCTCCAACCACGTGGAACAGTGAGTTCATTAAACTTATTTTTCTTTATAAATTACCCAGTCTTAGCCATTTCTTCATGGAATGGACTAATACAATGACCCACTACCAATTATGTATAGCAAATATATTTCCTTATGGTTTTCTTAATAACATTTTATTTCTCTAGCTTACTTTATTGTAAGAATACAATATATAATACATATAACATACAAAATATGTGTTTATTGACTGTTTTATTGACAAGGCTTCTAGTCAACAGTAAGCTATTGGCTGTTACATTTTGTGAAAGTCAAAAGTTATACATGGATTTTGACTGTATGGAGGACTCAGCATCCCTAACCGTCCAGTTGTTCAGGTGCAACTCTATTATTGGAGGGCATTCAGATTATAGCTTCAAGAAAAGGATTTGGAAGTTTATCTTGGCAGAAACTCACCTGAAGAATAAAAATCGACACAGTGTACAGAAATGGATAGTCTGGGGTCCAATTAAAACCACTAAAGTGAAGCCATTATTAAATACTCCCTGTATTAGCTCATTTTCACACTGCTATAAAGAGCTATCTGAGACTGGGTAACTTATCAAGAAAAGACGTTTAATTGATTCATGGTTCTGCATGGCTGGAGAGGCCTCAGGAAACTTACAATCATGGTGGAAGGGGAAGCAAGGCACATCTTACATGGTGGCAGAAGAGGAGAGAGTGAGGGGGAATGTGCCACACTCTAACACCATCATATCTTGTTAGAATTCACTCACTATCATAAGAACAGAAAGGGAGAAAATGCCCACATGTTCCAATCACCTCCCACCAGGCCCCTCCTTCAACATATGGGGATTACAATTTGAGATGGGATTTGAATGTGGACAAAGAGCCAAACTATATCATTTTGCCTCTGACCCCTCCTAAATCTTATTTCCTTTTCAAATTTCAAAATCAATCATGCCTTCCCCATAGTCCCCCATATGTTACAGGTAGTTAGACAGGCATACGCAGGGCAGGAGAGGGCTTCCATCCACCCACCACAAATGTCAAGTGATTGTTTGGCAGTTATCCCATTGCCTCTCTAAAAGTGATAAATTGGCAAACAGCACCAGGGAGAGGCCATTTCCTGATAGTCCACATCTGTTGCACTAAAGTGTTCACTGAAAGCCTGTACCAGGGAGAAGCAAATTCCTGGGCATGAGTATTAAGAGACAAAATGGAGCAATATGACTTTCCAAGGGCACACCACCAGAAAAGGGAAGAAAGCCTTAGATGGGCATCACACAACTTCCTAAACGAACTGCACATGCTCACTTACCACGGGTAAGGAGGAGATTGCACACACAGGCAGCCCACCCTAAAGGAAGAATCCTGGAAAAGAGGCCGGCCTATAAAGCAGACATAAAGATACCTGAAAATGTGGAGGCAACTTGGAATCGAGTTAGAGGCAGTGGCTGGAACAGTTTGGAGGGCTCAGAAAAAGACAGGAAAATGTGGGAAAATTTGGAACTTCCTAGAGACTTGTTAAATGGTTTTGACCAAAATGCTAATAGTGCTATTGGCAATGAAGTCCAGACTGAGGTCGTACAGATAGAGGTGAAGAACTTCTTGGGAACTGGAGCAAAGGTGACCCTTGCTGTGCTTTAGCAGAGAGACTGGTGGCCTTTTGCTCCTGCCCTAGGGATCTGGGGAACTTTGAAATTCAGAGTGATGATTTAGGATATCTGGTGGAAGAAATTTGTGAGTGGCAAAGTGTTTAAGAGGAAAAGTTGGCAAAATCTGCAGCCTGAAGATGTGATAGAAAAGAAAAACCCATTTTCTGGGGAAAACTTTGCATAAGTAATGAGGAGCAGAATGTTAATCACTAAGAAAATGGGGGAAATGTCTCCAGGGTATGTCAGAGACCTTCATGGCAGCCCATCACATCACAGACCTGTTGGCCTAGGAGGGAAAAATGGTTTCCTTGGTTGGGCCTAGGCTCCCCCTGCTCTGTGCAGCCTCATGACATGGTGCCCTGTGTCCCAGATGTTTCAACTCCAGCTGTGGCTAAAGGGGGCCAAGGTACATCTTGGGCCATTGCTTCAGAGGGTGCAAGCCCCAAGCTTTGGTGGATCCCATGTGATGTTGAGCCTGTGGGTGCACAGAAGTCAAGAATTGAGGTTTGGGAACCTCTGCCTAGATTTCAGAGAAAGTATAGAAATGCCTGGATATCCAGGCACAAGTTTTCTATAGGAGCAAAGCCCTTATGGAGAACCTCTGCTAGGGCAGTGCAGAAGGGAAATGTGGAGTTGGAGCCCCCACACAGAGTCCCCACTGGAGCACTGCCTAGTTGAAGTGTGAGAAGAGAGCCACCATTCTCCAGACCCCAGAATGATAGATCCACCTATAGTTTTCACTCTGCACCTGGTAAAGCTGCAGGCACTCAACGCCAGCCTTTGAAAGCTGCTGTGAGGGGGGCTGTACCATGCAAAGTCACAGAGGTGGAGCTGCCCAAGACCATGGGAGCCCACCTCTTGCATCAGAATGACCTGGATGTGAAACATGGAGTCAAAGGAGATTATTTTGGAACTTGAAGCTTTAATGACTGCTCTATTGAATTTTGGATTTGCATGGGGCCTGTAGCCCCTTCATTTTGGTCAATTTCTCCCATGTGGAATGGGTATATTTACACTATGCCTGTACCCCCATTGTATTTATGAAGTACCTAACTTGCTTTTAATTTTACAGGCTCATGAGTGGAAGAGATTTACTTTGTCTTAGGTAAGACTTTAGAGTTGGACTTTTGGGTTAATTCTGGAATGAGTTAAGGCTTTGGGGGACTGTTGAAAAAGCATGATTGTGTTTTGAAATGTGAAGACGTGAGAGTTGGAAGGGACCTGTAGTAAAATGATATCATTTGGCTCTGTGTTGCTACCTGAATCTCACCTTGAATTGTAACAATCCCCATGTGTCAAGGGGATTATTCTCATGAGATCCGATGGTTTTATAAGGGACTTCTCCCTTCACTAAGCACTCATTCTCTCTCCTGCTGCTCTGTGAAGAGGTGCCTTCCACCATGATTCTAAGTTTCCTGAGGCCTCATCAGCCATGCATACTGTATGTCATTTGAATCTCTTTTCTTTATAAATCACCCAATTTTTAGTATGTCTTCATAGTTGCAAGAGAATGGACTAATACAATAGTTAAATCCATCCTATTAAAGAGAAAGAAAAATTGAAACAGAAATCCAAAAAAAAAAAATACAAAATGTGAATGACAGCATAGCTCTGCAACTGTTATTACAATATGATAATATGTGATAGGTAAACATATATTTCAACCATGTGTCATTCATCTGACATACCATCTTCAACACTTCTGAAATCATACCGTTGCTGTTCTTTCCATTTCCAGTACATGTGCTCAACTGCCATTCACCTCTAACTTTCCTTATCAGCTTTCATTTTATCAATGTAATAAAGAATAAACCTACACAACCCATTAAAGAACAAGGAATGGAAAGAATTACTAATAAGTTACTTGATGACGGCAATCAGCTGCTTCAGCTCTAACTTATTTAGAATGTAGATTGGATTTACCTACTATTGATGAATTAGCAGCATTTACAAATCCATGGGTAGACACAAGATGCTAAATTAAAACTACTAAGCTGCAAAAATTAAAGCCAGCAAAGCTGAAACTATTTTATTCAGTAAATGAATTATTCTTCAATTGGAAAGAAAACAAACTATATTAGTCAAATTAATGTAGTACGATGTTAATTATGGCCCTAAGAGTCCTTTTAAATATTTATGAACAATTCCTTTCAAATGCCTTGTCAGCTGTATTCAATTAAAGAGTGTGCCATCAGTTTTGCCTTTCAAAACTGACTTTGATTTTTTTCTTATACTTTGACTCATGCCACTAAAAAATTGTACCTAGGAGCCATAGGCCTATGAAGCTTGGTTCATTTAGGAGCTCAGATGCTGGCTGTTTATGAGGCCCCAGATAGTGACTCTTGGTTTGAGATTAAGCATTTCATAAAGAAAACTAGGAATATATGTATAAATCATTTGGTTTAAAAATATTTGTGTGTGGGTATTAAGAGTTGCTCTTTTATGTACTCAGCTGAAGTTTATTTATTAAGCTGATGTCTTTGGTCTATCTCATAAGAGAATGTCAGTAAATTCATGAAGAAGTTAGAGCCAAGACATCCTTGTGCTTCCTAAGAAAGGGAGGTTCAGTGAATACCACCAGCAGTTATAACAGATTTTTCACCTTAAAAATCAAAATTATTCCTTTTCTCTCATACTCTTGGAAGAAAATGAGGAGATGCTGGTTGTCAGATATTTGAGAGTTATTTCTTTCATTTATCAAGATGTATTATATTCACTTATTTTTGCCTGCTTGAAATGACCTACAGTATAAGCAATCCCATAAGATCAGTATCCTAAAGATCAGATTTTGTCATTAATTGTATCTGCAGAGTAACACTTCCCCATGTGTGCATGTCTGTGTATGCAGTTTTATTTAATATCTTTGTCTTTAAATATTCACTACCTAAATTCACAAGAAAAAAGTTCCATTCATTTCGCAAATCAGTAAACAGTCTTTGGTTGGGCAACTACTCATTCTGTATTTTGTTAAATAGTCATTAATCAGTGTCTTGAATTCACAAATAGAGAGGAGGTAAATGCTCTTATCATAGAAAGAAAAAAATGTTGGAAATATCTACTTGTCATAAGGTCATAAAATATATTTAAGCAGGCATTTAAAAACAAAAATTTTAAAGTTATATATTATTTTAAAATAGTATAATTGAATGAGAAAGCATACTGAATATCTATCAAATCCAAGTCTCCAAAATTGAATTTCAGCTATGTTAAATGTATAGTTAGTTGTAATCATAAAAGGCCAAGGTACTTTGAATACTCTTTTTGATCTCAAATTCTTTCTCTAGACCATAAAGTTGTGCAATCAAACTGTGTTCATTAAGTGAAATATATGCTATCTACTTTACTGAGAGGGTGATGGTCAGTCATTGTTTAGATGTTTTCATTGTTGTAAAGAATTGCTATCAGTTTCCAACTTCTAGGTCTTCCAGTGAACCAGTACTAAGATCTTAATATGGATATAATCTTGCTCATGTCTTGCTTGCCAGGATCTGAAACAACACATGGCATATAACTGTAGTTACTGAAAGCTTTTTGAGTCAAACTGAATTAAGATATGTAGTGAAACATTAGAAAAAGTTTAATTATCTGCTTTTCATGGAAGAACATACATTAATAAACATAACTAACCTAGGCAGCAACCGTACTTTAGAAATCACACTTCTTAGGAATTTGAAAAAAATGTAAATAATGAAGAGAAGAAGAAATGTGTCACTGTTGTTGAAATCATTGACTTTGTTGAAATTGAAATTGTTCTATCCTGAGAAGATAGAAGATAATGTCACATTTTTATGAGTATTACCTGCAGGAACCCCACCAGGTTATCAAGTGAATATCCTAAACAGATACCTTCATGATCCTTGCAGGTGTGAGTGGAAGATTAACCAATGTAGAAATGAATGGAGACTGTAACACTAAAGCATGAGGACATTCACATAAGCACTGAACACTAGTTGATAAAGTAGTTTCCCATAGTTGTACAAGTTAACAAATCTGGAACAACTAAAAAGGTATACTGGAGTTGAACAATGAAATAAATGAATGGTGGATAATGGGAGTGTGTCTCAGTTGAGAGATTGGTTGTATAAACATAAGGGTAGGATTTTACAATAATTGACATGGTAACAGATTGAAGTGGAAGAACTATATGAATTTACATTTGGCATAACAGAGGTGCAAATACAAAAATATTTGTGGAAATGTGCATATACATGGTTTATTATATACACATATTTCCTTGCTTTGTCAGATGAGAGGGCTCAATGACTTATAGGACTGAAAAACCTGTTGCCCTTATGGTTACAGTGTATGGGAAAGGGAGGATACAGATTAAAACTAGTAAAGGAAAAATGTACAAGAGTTAATTTCCATGAATAGTCCAATATTCCCTTGTCAGTTGAGTTCAATCATGTCAGCCATTAGACTAATTCACATTTTATCTGTGGCTTCATTGGAATTACACATGGCAAATGGCCAAGTGCAAGTTGCAACTTGAACATCAGTGGATCCATTTTTGTGTTCCTGGTAAAATCTTTCCCCTCAAACCAGTAATGTTGTGAGTTGGGGAAAAAAAAATTCTTAAATGGCTTACTAGGCATAATAGTGAGAAGATTTACTCTACTTTCACATCTTTGTTTTTAGACCATGTATTCTGGTTATGGACAAATAAAACTATACATTTATCTTCTGTAATACAAACATGGTGTGGTCTTCCAATTGAAGCTATCTTCAATGAGCCAATCCATCATTCTCTTATTCCAGCCACTGGGGAATGAGTATTCTGTACAACCAGTTAATTCTTGGATGTTGACCTAAATAGATAGACATGTAATTAGATAGATAGATAGATAGATAGATAGATAAGACAGATAAAACAAAATATGATTTTGTAGGAACTATAGGATTCTTAAGAGACGTTGAACTCAGAGGAACCATAAATAGAGATATTGACAAAAGAGTCCTAAAGGATTGCTTACAAGATTATGAACCTCATTAATTCATTCCTTCTAAAAATATTTAATGGTTATTCAGAATTTGTAAAGTATATTGCTAGGCCCTAAAATAGATTAAAGATGACTGAAAATACAATAATTCCTAGAAGTGTTAAAATATTAGAGACTTAGATTTGTGTTTATCAGTATAATTTTATATTTCTAGAATAAACATATATAAAGAAACATATAGTGTTAAGTTCCCTATAGTCGATGGTGGCTAATAGGTCAAGTGTTTTCTTACATAAACATGTTAGTCAGTCCCCACTTCTATGAAGGAGGCAGTTTAAAAAGTAGTATTCTTAGTCATTGTCCTCTAAATATTAGAATCTGAGGCAAGTTTTAGAGATCTGGTATTTTATTTGGGAGGTGGAAGTCCAAGGTGCAAATAATGTGAGGTAAATAAAGATGCAAAGCAATGTGATGTAATAGCTTATTGTGAGGCTACCATTCCACAATAAGCTGAGAAGAGATCAACAGTGTCAGTTAGTCTCTGCGCTAAGTGACTTAGGGACTTACTCTGCATTAGAGACTTCTCTACAAAGGTTCACCTCATCGGGAACACAATTCCTCACATTTACAAGTTGTGTAATTTCGTTTATTGACAACTGTTCAGGAAGCCTAATATCAATAACCACAGTGTGATATTTCATCTAAATCCAAACACAGTAGTGCAACCTGAATGGATGAGATATTGAAAATATTTTTAAATAAATAAAAATTCCAAGCATTGTTGTGGAGCAGCTGAAATTCTTGTGACTATCTGGTAGGAGTATACATGGACATAACCATTTTCAACTAAAGTTTGGTGACATCTACTAAACTAAATTTTCTTAGAGTTTATGACCCTGTATCTTAGTTACTGGGCTTTAATCCAAAATAAATTAGCAATTCTGACCCCTAAAAAATACCCTGATGTTCAAAGGTTATTTATTAATAATATTTTAAGACTTTTTTTAAAAAGTTATTAAAGGGAATGATTAAACCCATTGTGGGAATGTAATTCTGCTTTACAACAATTAAAAAACAACAAAATATTGATACATCAAAATTTTTCTATATTTCACAATGATAAGCAAAAAAACTCATACCCAAAAAAGAATACATATTGAATAATTGCATTACTATTAAGTAATAATACTTTAATATGTTTAATATCTGTATAAGAATACTTGATTTAAACATTGGAGTTATGAATTACTAGTATAAAAAATTATGAATAACTAGTATAAGCTTCATTCAAAGTAAAACATAAATTTCCTCAACAAACCTTAATAAAAGAAATAATAGAGCGACACACATGCATATGAACATTTGACCCTTGAACAATGCTGGAGTTAGAGACGCCAATCCCCACTCAACTGGAAATCTGCGTATAACATGAGTCTCCAAATACTTTACTAATAGCTTACTGTTGACTGGAAGTCTTATTTATAATATAAACAGTCACTTGACATATATTTTGTACGTTATATACAGTATATACTGTATTCTTATAATAAAGTAAGCTAGAGTAAAAGATGTTATTAAGAAAATCATAAGGAAGAGAGAATGTACTTACTATTAATTAAGAGGAAGTGTGCCATCATAAAAGTCTCCATCTTTCTCATGTTTATGTTCAGTCAGAAGCGGAGGAAGAGGGAAAGAAGGGGTTGGTCTTGTCACAGAGGTGGAGTAGGTGCAGGAAGTAGAAGGGAAGGCAGGCGTGCTAGGTGAAATTGTTATTGGAAAAAAAATCCACATGTAAATGGACCTGTGCAGCTCCAAACCCACAATGTTCAAAGGTCAACTATATTTCTCTTTATGCTTTTTAATTAGCATAAGTTATCTTCCTAGCTTTTAAACATATAAATTTGATGACTGCATTTTCCATTCACATACGTTTCAGTTAATGGGAGTTAATGAGGACTTCTCCGTTGCTGTCTTACTAGCGAACACATCTAGAAAACTTTTTTTTCTACAGTGCAATAAAGCAGACACTATTTTAAGAGAATATATTGAGTCAGGCTCTGTAGCATATTTATGAATATCTACTTTGAGAAAATCTACATAGTATGATTTTCTCTAGATATAATGTTTATATGTTTTCTATATTTTTAAAAAGTATTATTTCTCAAAATGTTTAAAGATCCTACATGAATCATCTGTAAAATCCATTTAATAGCGTGACATATTATTCATATTTGAATAATTTTACAAATTATTTTCATGATATCTGGGACATTATGTATAGGTTGCCATTTTATAAGAAAACTATTTATAGCCCCATCTTTCCAACAGGTAACTGTAAGAGGAGCCCTGCCTAAACTATTCAATCAGTCCTGTCTTTACTGTAAAGAATGTACTTTATCTGCCTTGGGGATAAGAGATGTATTTCCAGATGTTGCAAGTGGGCTGAAGTTATCATAATAAGAAAGATATTCCTGTTCTACTTTTAGGCTCAGTTTCTCTTAAATGAGCTACAGAAACATATTTCACAAAAGGATTTTATTCTTTATAAAATATCATTGTTGCACTACTTTTTACTTTGCCAAGAAACAAAGAAAAATTGCAGATATAATCATTAGACTATGCTAATAAATTAGAGACTCTAAGCACAAATTTTGAAGATTTGAATACCTTAACAGAAAATGATATGTCAGGTCCATAAATCTCTTCCTGATATCAAATGTCTGCAAGTTTTTTCCAGGAATATCTACAAATATTATATATAAATCAACAATACAGATATGCAAACAGAGATAAGTAATTTTTAAATTTACTTTTCTATGGACAAATACACGTTGAAAAATACCTTGCTGGCAGAGCGAATAGAACAAGACCACAGCCTTGCAATTTTTAATATACCTTTCTCATTTTTCAAAATAAAATAGTTTTTCTAACAAGCAGCATGACCTGTTAAATATCAAAGCAACATCACTGTTGCAGTGCACTGAATTAATTAATTCTGATTAGCTAGAAAGAAGATATTTATTAGGCAAGTCACAAAGGTTTGCTTTCTTAGTCTCCACATTCTAAAGAAATCAAAATGAATATATTTATGAGTAAGTATAACTCAAAATCAACTGAAAAATTTATTTTTCAGTGTGACATAACATAGTAGGTTCATAATATCTCATCATATTTACATTCTTTGGTTTTTGTGCAGGAAATCTTGAAGGACCATTTTATAATTCTGATAATCACAGAACCCCAAAATTAAAGTGAACCCAGCTGAATTCACATATCTGATGAGATTAGACAGTTTATCAAAAGAGCATAAATAAGACACAAATTTGTACTTGCATTTTCAAATGAGTAAAAGATCTCAAACTGGAGTTGAATATTTCAGATTCTATTTTGAATAATGTATTAATATTCTTCAATATAAACTTATTATTTGATTAGAGCTTCTCTTAAAATTAATATTTTCATTTATTCAAGTAGGTAGGTTGATGAAGGAAATAATGAGACAATTGATTTGATAGCTTCATTAGAATATTTTCTGAGAATATGAACCCGGCTATGTAACAATTCTCTAGGACTCAACGAAAATGCGTCTGTTACATCACTTGGTTTTGTGAAATGTTTAATCGTATCCCAAAGAGTAGTCCATAGCCAACAATTTTACATTTTTGTTAATCATAATGCCTTTATCACAGTATTTGCCACGTAAATATTTTAACAAAAACGGGGAACAAAAGGAAGGGACAAAAAAGAAGGAAAAGAATGAAGAATGGAAGAAAAGAGAGAGGAAAAGAGAGAATGCAAAAGGGCAAGAAAGAAAGAAAGAATGAAAGAAAAAGAAAATGAAATAATCAAAAAAGAAGAAAGAAAAGAAGTATGCCTATGGAAGGAAGAAGGAAGAAACCATGGAACGAAGAAGGGAAGACAGGCAGAAGACAAACAGAAACTGGAATAAGGAAAAAAAAGGAAGACATAAAAAACTTTTAGATATTTAGATGTTGAATATATACTATTAGCTGACATTTTCACTCCTGCAATGGAGTAATCTAAAACTTCCTGGGGACAAATAAAAATACACAGATTAATGCCACTCAATTACTATGTCTTCTAACCTCACTTAAATCTTCTGTATCCTTTAACCTTCCAATTGTCCTTAATTGATTTCAATGACTATTTCTAAATTTTACTTTTCTTAAGCCAAGTACCTAACTCATACTCTCAATTACTGAGCTGGACTTGTACTTGACTGCATTAAGAATGTTTAGAACATTGCATGAGAGTTCTTTTAACTTCAGACATTTTTTTTCTATAAATTAATCTATTTCCAGTTTAGTGCTTAAATTTGAGCCCAGAAATTGATATGTTTTTCCTACTAATGAAGTTCACTTGTATTTTATTTTTTTAATCCTATCACATCTGTATTTCTTCTAGGCAACGTGGAGTTGCATTTTGCTTTTCTGAGAGATCTAATCTGAAAGTCTCTGACTTTTATTGATGTGTTCAGATACCATTTACATTGTACATGATTATTGATTTGGTTCTATTTAGGCATCAAGCTCTTTGGTTTTTATTTGTTCCATCTCATGTTTATTCTACCTTCCTTTCCACTGAATTTTTTCATAATTTCATTTTCTCCCCTTTGTTGACTTCAAGCTATTTTTTGTATTTGTTGTAAGGATTACTTTAGAGTTTTATAGTATATATATTTACCTTATTACCCCTCTAATTTTAAAGATATTCTATTATTTTGTGTATATTATGAAAACCTTTCAATGTTATAGCTTTCTCTCCTGTCTGCTTCTATGCTATGTTTCTCATGAATTTTACTTGTTATACATCCCATAATATGTTGCTATTTTTCTTTAAAGTCAATTATATTTAAAGAGATTTAATGGTAAGTAAAGCAGCTTGTATATTTGCCCATGTCATTGCCATTTTGTTTTATTTCTGCATTTTATTTCTGTTTGTCAATCCATGATTGTATCTAGTATCATAAGCCTTCACTGTAAAAGTCCTTCTTTACTATTTTCTATAGTGCAGATCTGCTGGTGAAAAAGTGTTTCAGCTTTTGCATATCTGAAAAAGTAATTATTTTTTCTTCATTATTAAAATACAGTTTGCTGAGTAAGGGATTATATTTTTATTTTCCTATTGTAAGGGTATGTTTTCACTATCTGCTAGCTCCAATTGTTTCTGACAAAAACTGTGCTGTCATTTTTACTCTTGTTCTACAGTACATTGTGTCTTATTTTCTGTCTCCTCTTATGACTTTCTGTTCATCACTGGTTGTGAGAAATTTCATTATGTTATGAAGTGCATTGTTGAAGTTTTCCTCATCTATATAGTGCTTGAGGATCTTGGATCTATGGGTTTATATTATTTGACAATTTTTAAAAACACTGTCATTATTTTTTTCAAATATTTTCCCTCTACCTCAGCTTTTTCCATGTATATTAGAATGTTTAAAGTTTATTGACAGCCCAATCACATACTTTTAATTATGTTAATTTTTTATTTGCTTTTGTTTTAGTTTCTATTTTTTTGTCTTAAAATTTACTAACCTTTTTTCCTACAATTTTTGTTTATCATCAAGTACATTTATCTTATCTAGAATATATTTTTAAAATCTCACACATTGTAAATTTCATTTGTAAAAGTTTGAATTTGGTCTCCTATATATCTTCCATATTTCTACTTATCTTCTTGAGCGTATAGTATGCATCCATAATCACATATTAAACTTGTGTCTATTTATTCAAGTTTATTTATCCATTATGGGTTTGTTTATACTGACTGATTGTATTGCTTTTACTTCTCACTATATGTATTATTTTCCAGTGTTATGCATGTCTAGTAATCTTTGACTGGAATTTCAGACTTTGTAAGTATAACCTACGGGGTACTGAATATTTTGTTTTCCTATAAATACCCTTTGTCTGCCATGCAGTTATGTTACCTGGTAATTATTTGAGTTTTTTGTGTCTGATTTTTAATATATATATTTGTTGGGACCAATATTTTTAAAGATTTTTGGTTCTTCCTGACCAATATTCAAGATAATTGCTATAATTATTTGACTAGGTTTGGTGCCATTCTTGAGAGTTTGTGTCTGTGTTAATGTGCATGTAATTCATAATAAACACTAGTAACTTATTTTAGTTTATCTCAAGTGACTATCTATTTGACTCCATAAAACTTCCCGAATTAACTTACTTTAAAAGAACCACATATAATTCTGGAATGGTGATTTGAGAAATCCTGAAGTCTCACTCACCAGGAAAATAAAAACAATTGGTGAAAATTATAAACAAAAATAGAAGAAATACAAAAACACTTAAAGTCTCTGGAGGTATCACAATACCCGACTTTAAATTGTACTGCAAGGCTATAGTAAGCAAAACAGAATGGAGTTGGTACAAAAATAGACACACAGATCAATGGAAGATAATAGAAAACCCAGAAATAAAACCACATATTTACAATCAACTGACTTTTGACAAAGTTGACAGGAATATACACTGGGAAAAGGACACCTTTTTCAATAAATGGTCCTGGCATTGTCATATGCAGGATGAAGCTGGACCTCTATCTCTCATTATATACTAAAATCAACTCAGGATTGATTAAAGATTTAAATATAAGACCTTAAACTATAAAAATACTAGAAGAAACTTACCTAGGGAAACTCTTTTGAACATTGGTCAAGGCAAAATATTTATGATTAAGATTTCAAAAACACAGGCAACAAAAACTAAAATAGAAAACTGAGACATAATTAAACTAATAAGCTTCTGTACAGAAAAAGAAATAATTAAGAGAGTGAACAGAAGACATACAGAATGAAAGAGAATATTTGCAAACTATGTATCCAGCAAGGGTCTACTATCTAAAATATACAAGAACTCAAACAACTCAACAAAAACAAAATAATCTCATTAAAATGTGGGCAAAGGTATGAATAGACATTTTTCAAAATAAGACATACAAATGGCCAAGAGATATATTAAAAATGTTTAATATTACTAATCACCAGAGAAATGCAAATTAAAATTATGAGATATCCTCTTACCCAAGTCAGGATGGCAATTATTAAAAAGTTTTAAAACAGCAGATGTTGGTAAGGATGCACAGATAAGAGAACTCATATACTGCTGGTGGGAATGTACACTAGTACATCCTCTATGGAAAACAGTATGGAGATTTCCTCAAGGAACTAAAACTAGAACTAACATTTGATCTAGCTGTCCCACTACTGGTTATCTATCCAAAGGAAAATAAATCATTATATTAAAAAATACCTGCACTGATATTTATTGCCACACTATTCACAACAGCAAACACATGGAATTGACCTGTGTTCATCAATAGATGATTGGATTAAAATGTGGTATACAAACACAATGGAATATTATTCAGCCGTAATAAGAATAAAATAATATCTTCCTAAGCAGCATGAATCAATTTATGGCCCAGATCATTGTCTCAAACATTTGAGCAACAAACTTCACCTAGTGAGGCCTAAGAGCTGAGTATAATACCAACAAAGGAATTAGAGGACATTATCTTAAGTGAAAAATGTCAGACTCAGAAAGATAAACTTTGCATGTTCTTACTTATAAGTGGGAGTTAAATAATGTGTACACATGGATATAGAATATATCCATGGTAGAATATATCCATGGAAACCTGGTAGATTGTGGTTACTGGGAGTGGATGATGAGAAATTACTTAATGGACAAATGCATGTTATTTTGTTGATGGAAACCCTAAAAGCCCAGATTTCACCACTACGAGATCTATGCATGTAAACAAATTGCACTTTTACCCTATAAACTCATACATATAGAAAATAAATAAATAACAATAATAAAATTTAAAAGTGTATGAAAATTCTCCCTAGAGTATATTCAATAAAATATACTACATTTCTAAAAGAACAAGAAGTGTCTGTGGCACTTGTGCCATCACCTGCGTCCTGAACTCCTCAGTACAGTGTGTCACAAGCTCCATTTCGGGTGATAATGGCCAAGAGAATGGGGTACCCTTTCCCCCAGGTAGCAGTTATGGACTATGTTATTTCACCTAAAGGGTCAGGCCATCATCATTTCATGTCCCTCCAGCCTGGTGTTGCAGAGGTTAAATTCTAGATTAGGGATACCATGAGGTCACGGGCTCTCTTCCTCCACCCAGTCCTCATCCATGGGATGAAGGCTCTACCCTAGGAATGACACGCTGAGAAAGCTGGAGCCTCCCTGTGCTCTTAGAACAGAGATTTCAAGCTAAAAGGCTGAAGTAAAGAAGGGCAGAGCATACTGCCCCCATCCACCTCCCTACTCATAGAGTTTTTCCCTTTGAGAAAAGGAGGCAACACTCTGACTCCAACTCCATAGAAGTAGCTCGGATAATCTGCCAGTGTAAAGTCCATGCCCTAATAACCAAGAATTCAAGATCTCCCCATTGGACCTGACTATGTAACGGAATCTAAGAAAGTTCAAGCCTACATGAACTCTCAAAATAATGGAGATTTTGGTGGCAAACAAAAGGAGGCTGGTCACTCCATGAAAACTAGAAGCTAAACATTAGTCTAAGTAGTTTACCAGAGAAAATCAGGAGAAGCTACACTTAAAAAGTACTTTTCTGGTATGAAAACACACATTAACAACTAGCTTCAAAAAATACCCCTGAAGAAAGGCTGAATGTAATTGACTCATTGTGAATCAATTAATGTCCCAGGTCATTGTCTCAGACATTTGTGCAAGAAACCTCAGCTAGAGAAGCCTAAAAGCTGAGTATAATGCTAACAAAGGCAAAAAATGAACAGAAAGATCAAAGAAAAGCTTAGATAAAACCACCGTTCTCTCAAAGGACTGTGTACAAACCTAGTTAGTGCACCCTGAGGAATGGCATCATAGGCTTCACATATATAAGAATTGCATCTTAGAAAAATACTCGAACTAAGTCACTAAGCAAATAAATGAGTAAACAACCCAAAAGCAATTCCTCAGTTTGGGCCAGTGACCAGAGATGCTGCAATATATTAGAGTTTCCAATTTTAAAAAAACTTTATACGACATTTAATAAAGCAAGAAAGTGAGACTAAATGCAGGCAGAAAGACAGGCAACAGAAATCTCCTGTGAGAGGGTCTAGATATCAGATTTAACAGGAAAAATGAACTAAAGGAAATTATGCTTTAACAAGTAAAAGAAGATTCCATGGTGATGTCTCATGAAATAGAAATACCAATAGAGAGAAATAAATTATATAAAAGAATCAAATGAAATTTCAGTAGTTGAAATGTAAAATAGTTGAAGTCAAAATTGAACTGGAGGAAGAAATAATCAGTACACTTGATGATAGATCAATAAAAATTATGCAATCAGAAGAACTGAAATAGAAGTTAAAGAAATAAACATACTCTCAACGAAATACGGGATACTCTTGCATGTATCAACATGCACATAATGAGACTACCAGAAGAGGGGAAAGAGATCTTTAAATTTATATGTAAATAATTCTTAGAATGTATTCTAAGAATTAATTGCTTAAAATATCACTAATTTGATAAAAACATCAACCTCACATGAAGAGATTCAATAAACTACAAGCAAGAAAAAATACAAAGAGATCCACACCCAGACACATTAAGACAAAAATGTTGAAAGAAAAAGAGGAAGAGGAAATTTTGAAAGCTGTGAGAGACAAACAACTCATGTACAGGGTAACTCCAATAATATTTTCAGCTGACTTACCAGAAACAATGCAAACCAGAAGGTAAGGATACTACATATTCAAATTGCTGAAAGAACCCTTAAATCCAGAAGAGCAATAATAAATTTCATTATCTTGCTTATAAAGAAAACAAAATAAGCATATACATTTAGATTTCAAGTCATATGAATAATTCAGTGTTCACAGAAAAAAAAATTTCTATATTTTTAGCTTCTTCCTAATGAGCATGTAAACCACACTGTCACCTAAAATAGAAAAGGTAAAGGACCTGAACAATGAAACATGTTTTATGAACACTTTTAATTGGTAATGCCTGTCTATGGAGAAGTAAAATGGTTTGTAATAAGACATAATGTCGTTTTCAGAAAAGACATCACAGACAGTTTCCTGACAAAAAGACTGAGATTTAATCACCCAAAGCTGCTTTTGCAGCTACTGCCAAAGCATGTTAGCACTGCCATCAGGGAGCAGGATGCCTGTCAAGACTGCAGTAAAGCAAACGGAATTGCTGCCAATGCACTGCCTGCGGACAACAGATGATCTTCATACACCATTTATTTTATTTCTGCACATTTTCATCTTATGTTGTGTTATCTATAGAACATATTGAGCCTGTACATCACTACAAAAGGACTTCTAGTGAAAGAAAAAGATTGTTATTAAGTTAGGAAAACAAAAAAGAAAATGCTTTCTCAGAGTTAATTGAATTTTTTGTCCAAATCTTGCTGCTGAACAAAGCAGATATTTATTTTTATCATAATATCAAAAGATACTAAGCTTTAGACAGACAAAAAATGTTTTTAATTGAAAACAGGAAGGTGATAATAATATGTTTCCAGGGTCTACATTCAATCCTATATGGTTTCTCAACTTCTAATGCATAAACTTCATATTTAATAAACATTTGTTATTTTCATTTTATTAGATAAATTTATGGATGATGGTGTGTTCCAATGCTTCTTCATGCTCTGACAATGTGATGCTAGAGACAGAGTTGACAAAAAAAGACAAAAGAGGGTATTTTTTCTCAGTATTAGAAAAATGGCTGTTAATATTTAGGGTTTTCTAAGGAATTTACCTGAATATTTCATTGTGCCAAAAGGAATGAAACTATGTGAAATTTTTTGGCTATTCAAGCAATCACTGTGGAAGTTACCTTTTCATCCATTATTTTTAAAATATCAATTATAATAATAGTCACCTAGTGTTAGCAGTGACAATGTATTTATTATAATAGGCACTTTTATATGCTATCTTTCTTAATTCTATAGTGATCATAATAAGTACATATTATTATTTTATTTTCTATATTAAGAAACTCAGACTCAGAAAAATAAGTAATTTATTCAAGGTCACATTCAATTTATTCAAAGCCACACAGCCAGTAAGAAACTGAGCCAAGATTTATACACAGATCTCTTCATTTTTAAGCTCTTAGGTTTTCCTTTATACACTTCATTTTCTCCTAATTCCTATGGCAGAGCCTGCCTCTTTTTGGCTGTGATAATTTTCCAACAGTTTTAAAATAAAATGAATAACTTCATGGGATCTGTACATTATATACACCAAGTTTTAACTCACATTTTTTTGTGTGTGTGCCAAGAAGCCACTGAAGTAGGTTGAGGGGAAAATAAACATTGAAAAACCTATGTAGTTAATGAAGAAAGCACCAAGAGGTTATTCTTAATGTTTGCTTAGCCTCTTGTACTCTGACTTAGTATTGTGAGTACTAAACCTTAGCCATAGTATTAAACCTCCTACTATTTTTTTTTCATAGTTCCAGAAAAAACTATTATTTGCGTTCCTATTTAATAGTTCCTAAGAATCTGGGCGTTGCCAGATCATCTTTGAGACAATTCTGATTGGCCCCACTAAGAGCAAGCCGCTGTGTAAAAATAGCAACTGCTGGGAGATATTCCCAAGACAAAGTCAAAGCTGCCAATCAACTCCAGCCCTGGGCATCCACTCCACTTCCACAAGGTGAGCTGTCACAGATTATTTACAAAAATGAGTCTGGAAAAGTCTCTTTCTTTGCCGTATTTCTTTCCATTTATTCCTTCTTTATCTTTACCTTTACCTTATTTAATTTCATAATGATTTTTCGTTCTATTTAAGTTTTCTTTCTCTTCTTTCCTCTGTTGGTTTTCTAATGCCCTTTATTCCTTTTCCTATTCAAAATAGTCTAGATCTAAAGACAAGTAGTCCAGGGAATGGTCAGATAAAAAAGAATTTTCCATAAATTCTATTGTGAGATACTAATTTTAAAATATTAATCTAGCTAGACCAGGAAAAAAAATAATCCAAACAGCAACATTTCTACATGCATAGAATGTAGAATATTAGTGTTATACTTTTATTTAAAGCATATGTGTTATGACTGAATCATTATATTTATCAATAATGGTTTTCAAGGAAATCATACACCAAAATAGCATAGAATCCTTGCTTGAAGTTTTACTTGAAGTGTAACAGAGTGTTTGATGAGACAATAATTGTAATATTTTCCAGCAGATGGAAAAAATCATTATATAACTGATCTTCAGAGACCACAATGTAAAAGTGTGCACTGTTCTTTTATTTGTCAAATATGCACCACACCATTCCAGCAACTGAAATTAGGTAATTGGTTTGCAACCTCAGAAAATTAGAACCTAGCAAATATATCCATTCATAGACTAAATAAAGTGGTCATGAAAGATACTGACTGAATCATATTATAGCTTAATCCATTCACATAACTATTTTGGAAGCCTGTTGGAATTAATGTTAAAGGTGACTTAAATTTTCCAAAGAACATTTGATATCCAGTGGTGGTAGTGCTGTATTTTAGAAAGAATATGGTTTTTTTAAAGCCCAACTTGTTTGGATTTAAATCCAGACTTCAGCATTTCCATCCTGTAGAAATCAGGCAATATTTTTTTAAAAACTTCTCTAAGCCTTAATACTTTTCTCTGT